>NC_000008.11:39557072-39860102 GCF_000001405.40 Homo sapiens | reverse complement strand
CCAGTTATGACTCCACTGTACCAAAACAAAGAGTCTGTTGGGCAAAGGAATCATTTTAAGTATTTGAGCATGATAATGATGATGTGATGAGTCCACGTTCTCTCAGATTAGTTTGGTAACAAGGAACAAGAGAGAGAGTACGTTCATGTGGATACACATGGTCAAGTGAAGGTGGAATTCACATCAAGAATTCTCGAAAAACCAAACCAGTTTGTGACTCATGTCCCATTTTTTTAAGATGACTAATCTTGGAAGAGTTTGATGCCATAAATATTTATAAGCAACTCTTGATTATAAAATCTGAAAGAAAAACTCTTAACTGGCTCAATATGACTAAAGGCTTATCAATTTTCATTTATTTTTCAGTATTTAAAAATAACAAGTTAAGAAAAATAATACATTTTGAGATAATTTTAGTTTATATACACTAATACCAATCATTTAACCTGAAAACAATAATCACTTACACATTGTAAAAAAAATTTCTTGAGATTAAACAACTAGAAATACTCCATTACCATAAAGCCACAAAGAGGTTCATGTTCCTAAGACCAAAGTCAGGAAAACAAAAATAATCATTATACCAGTGATAAGCACCAAGACAGAACTTTTTTGCACTTGAAGCCATAGACACGAAATAGAAAGTGGAAAAGTAGTGTGTCTCCTTTTCTTTCCCATAGGAATTTCAACACTGAATTTTAAAACATATTTATATTATATTCCAGCAATTTATTTATTTATTTGTTTTTATTTTTATTTTTTGAGACAGAGTTTCCCTCTGTCTCCCAGGCTGGAGTGTAGCAGGTGATCTCAGCTTACTGCAACTTCCATGTTCCCAGTTCAAGCAATTCTCCTGCCTCAGCCTCCCAAGTAGCTGAGATTACAGTCATCTGCCACCACAACCAGCTAATTTTTTTGTATTTTTAGTAGAGACGGGGTTTCACCATGGTGGCCAGGCTGGTTTGGAACTCCTGACCTCAAGTGATCCACCCGCTTCAGCTTCCCAAAGTGTTAGGATTACAGGCATGAGCCACCGCACCCAGCCATTTCCAGCAATATTTTTGAATTTGTCCTATACGTTATAAGTTGTGTGGAGAAACTATTTTGGTAAAAAGTGTTACTGAGATGTAAAAACTAGCTAATATTGCATGTAGATTGCTTAAGTTTTAAAGTGACTGCCTGACTACATAGGTTATTTTCTACAACCTCCAGTATGTTGGCATTACCTCAAACTCAGAGACCCCACAGGACAAAAAGAGACTCCCTTTCTGGGGCTGAGTTGCACGTGGAAGTGTAGCAGTGGATTTGGCCAAGCCTCTGGAAGGAATAGTATCTGTTTTGGGAGAACCCTTGGGACCAATAAGAGGGATGCCCAGGTTCACACTCTGGGACCATTAAGACATTGTCAGTGGGTGAAGTGGAGGGCCAGTGACATGCTGCCAGTGCCCTCTGGGGAAGTGCCAGGGACCCTCAGCTGCAGACCCAAGACGGATCACATTCCCTGATCTTTGCCTGAAAAGTGGCTACTGTTGCTCTGTGTCCTCCAGTGTAACAGGTAAGCTGTGTCCAGACATCCTGCTTTAGTCTTTGCTTTCTAAACGTGTCAGTCACTGACACTTCATTGAGGTGATAGATCCCCTAGTTCCCCCATTGCTCAGCCTCTGGTTTATTTTGGGGGTAACTGAGTCTTTGACCGCTCAAGTCTTTTAAGGGTTAGTTGGACCATTATGTAAGCTTGTTTGTCTTACCTCTCTCTGGGCGGTGGTACTCAGTCTCTCACGCTGCTCTCTAGCAAACTTCTATGTGTACATACACATGCATGCACACACACACACAATATCTCATCTGGCTAAAGTTTTTAAAAATTATAAAAATAAATAATTGTTTCAACAATCGGAATGAGTTGCAAATAAGATTGCTGGAATAACTAGATCTAGCTCTACTGGTTTGGGTTTATTACAGCAAACCTACATAATTTAACATATTTATTTACTTTAGTGTGACAACTGATGAACAAAAGCAGAGCCATCTGAGTTGTATAAAATGAACCAAAGAGGAAGAAAAGTGATGTAAATTTATTTTGCAAATGTAAAATTAATAAAAAAATTAGTATTATTATTATTAAAGTGGGCATTCTTCACTGTTTCCAGACCGTTGTGTGCGTTTTTATTCTATGTTTTAAATTGCTAAATAAGGTGTTCTTCTGGTCCTCTAATGTAGAGGTGACATTTAAATACAACCAATCAGGCCTTAAGTGCAAAAAAGTTTTGTCTTGTGCTTATCACTGGTATAAGTAATTCAAGACTTCTTTTTCTTTTCCCTTGGCCAATCTATATTTTTCAAATATATTTTCAAATAACCAAACTTTGATACTCTCTATTGTTTTTCTGTTCTCTATCTCATTTATCTCTGCTCTACAATTTCTGCTCTAACCTTTATACTAACCTCTAGTGCCTTTCTCTTGTTAGCTTTCAATTTATTTTGTTCTTTTTTTAGCTCCTTCAGGTGTAAATTTAGGTGATTTGTCGGAGATCTTTACCCTTTTTAATCTAGGCATTTACAGCTATGAATTTGTCTCTGAGCACTGCTTTCAACTGCATCCTCTAAGTTTTGGTAATTGTATTTTCATTTATATTTATCTCTAAGTAGTTTCCAGTTTCCCTTGGGATTTCGTCTTTGGCACATTAGGTAAGAGTGATGTTTACTTTCCACATATTGTGAGTTGTTTTCCTTCTCTTCTTGATTTTTAGTTTTATTCTGTTGTGGTCAAAGAAAATATTTTGTATAATTTCCATATTTTAAAATTTATTGAGAATTGTTTTGCAACCAAACATATGGTCTATGCTGGAGACTGTCCCAAGTGTACTTTAGAAGAATTGACATTCTGCTATTGTTGAGTGCAGTGTTCTGTGTATGTTATTAGATTTAGTTAGTGTACAGTGTTGTCAAGTCCTCTATTTTCTTATTGATAATTTGTCTCATTGTTCTATTCATTATTGAAGGTCAGGTATTGAAATTGTCCACTATTATTGTAGAACTGTATATTTTCCCCTTTAGATTTCATTTTATATATTTTTAGGTTCTGTTGTTAGGTAGTATTTGTTTATAATTATTATACCTTCTAGATGAAAAAACTATTTCATCCATGTATAATGCACTTCTTTGTCACTGGTAACGATTTTTACTTATAGTCTATTTTGTCTGATAGCCACCAGAGCTCTCTTTTGATTCCTCTTTTCACAGAATATCTTTACATCTTTTCACTTTTTACCTGTTTGTGACTTTAGATCTAAAATGGGTTTCTTTTAGACAATAAATAATTTGGTCATTTTGGTTGTTTGTTATTTTATCCTTCTGCTAATCTCTTCCTTTAAATTGAAGAGTTGAATCCATTTTCATTTAAAATAGTTACTGTTAAAAAAGGACTCCTGCCTTTCTATATGTATCCACAATAATTTTTTAAGTATTTATTATTATTTACTATTTAGTATTTTTTTAGTATTTCTTTTATTGCTGTGTTCTTTTGTGTTTGACTTTCTAGGTTATTACTTTGCCTTCTTTTTTCTTTTTTGTATGTTTCTGTTATATGGCACAGTTTGTTACTTTCTTAGTAATTACCCTGAGGATTATAATTAACAATCTAAAATACACAATAATTTATTTTGAATTAGTACCAACTTAGCCCCTACAGTATTTAAAAACTTTGTTCCTATATAGCTCTACTTATCTCCCATCCTTGTGTTTTGGTTATTGTTGCAAATTACATTTTAAGCATTATGTGCTTAACAATATAGATTTATAATTATTTTATGCATTTGTCTTTTAAATCAAGTAGTAAAGAAAAAGAGAAGTTATAAACCAAAAATTAAAAATAATGTCATCCTCTATATTTATTTATGTAGTTACTTTTACCAGTGTTCTTTATTTCTACATACAGCTTTGAATTACTGTCTAGTGTCCTTTCCTTTATTTGGAAAGATTTCCTTGAGTATCTTTGGCAGGGCAGTGGTAATAACATACTTTCCCAGTTTTTTGTTTATCTAGAAATCTCTTAATTTAGCCTTCATTATTGTTCCTTTGAGGTTGGGAAGGTGTATGCAAGTGCTAAGCTCCACACGCTCAGGATAATGACAAAAGGATATAAAAAATTTTTGGAAATATTCCTCATGCTGCACACAGATCCAACAACAGAGGGCAGAAGCCTCACTGGCACTAGAGATTTAAACACAACTTCTGACCAAACACTGTTAAAATAATAAGCTGCTTCGACCTTGGAACAATATCTCAGAAGCCAGGCCTAAAAACGAAATCACATGTATTCTTGGCAGCCTGGAAGACTGTGTGCATGATGTGGGCTGTAACCTCTCTTGAGTGACAGGCCCTAAAATAAGCAGCAAACACTGACATAATTGAAAGAGGAGATAGACAGTTTTACAAAAATAGGGACTTACTAGTCGACTTTCAATAATGAACAGAATAACCAGAAAAAAGATCATAAAGAAATAGAGGACTTAAACAACATGTTAGGTCAACTAGACCTAACAGACATATGTAGAATGCTCTCCCCATCAACAGCGGAACATACACTCTTCTCAAGTGCACACAGAACATGTTAGGACTGTTAAAAGAAAATGAAATAAAGGACCCCCAAATCACTAAGCCAAAGGGAAAAGTCAGGCTGGGACCTGCCTCAGGCAAACCTACCTCTCATTGTATTTCTAAATAAGATAGCTACAAAGATTAAAAACAGTTACGTTCTTCCTTCACAATTTGCCCACAAGGACTTTCCTTGTGGGCCTCAAGATCTTTGCTCTAAGACAGTTCTGTTGAACTTCACCTTGGTAATGTAAATCGATAGCTTATCTTCACAGGTGCAGAGCAAAGGACAGACAAAACTCAGTCATCTCTCTGCTCACCTGAGACAAGTGCATATCCGATTGCCTTCTCTGCCCTATTGTTTATGTAAAAATGTAGATTCACTGAACCAGACTAAAGCATAAGTGACTCTTTCTCTGTCCCCCTCTCACATGTAAATTGTGTATTCAGTGAAAGGTTGACGAAAGACTCAAAAGAATGTAACCTTTTTTCTCTTATCTACCTATGACCTGGAAGCCCAGCCTCAAGTTGTCCTGCCTTGTTAGACAGAACCAATGTACATCTTACACATATTGATTGATGTCTCATGTCTCCCTAAAATGTATAAAAGCAAGCTGCACCACAACCACCTTGGTCACATGTTGTCAAGACTTCCTGAGACTGTCTCGCAGGTACGTCCACAACCTTGACAATATAAACTTACTAAATTGATTGAGACCTGTCTCAGATACTTGATGTTCACAACTTTGATCAAGGAACAAATGCTCACTTTTACTACTGCTATTTAACATTGTACTGGAAGTTTCAGCCATAGCAAAGTGAAAAAAAATGGCATCAGGATTGGAAGAAAGAAAGTAAAGTTATCTCTATTCACAGATTATCTGATCCAATATACAGAAAATCCCAGGGAATAAACACATACACACACACACTCACACACACACAGATAAGCTAAGAAATGAATTAAGCCAAGTTTTAGCATACAAAATCAACACACAAAAAAATCAGAGCACGAAATTCAGTTGTAGTACTTACACCAGCAACACATAACCTGAAAAGAAAATTAGAAACACAATTCAATTTACAATAGCATTTATAAAAATAACATATATAAGAATAAAATTTACCAAGGAGTATGTGATTTTTATGTACAGTGAAAACTATAAAACATTGCTCAATGATTTTAAGAAAAACTAAATAAATACCGTGTGCTCATGGATATTTATTTAGTTCATGCATATTTACTTATCATCACTTTAATATTGTTAAGATGATGATACTACCCAAAGCTATTTATAGAATCAACACAATCCCTATGAAAATTTCACAGATTTTTATTTTGCAGAAATGTAAAAGTCATGCCACAACTTCGTATGGAATTCAGAGAGGCCAAGAATAACAAAAACAATGTAGAAAGAGAAGAACAAAGCTGGAAAACTCACATGTTGGTGATTCAAAATTTACTACAAAACAATAGTAGTCAAAACAGTGTGGTACTGGCATAAAGAATGACATATAGACAACAGAGCCAAACTGAGAGTCCAGGAAGAAACTCTATACACATATGACCGATTTATTTTCAACAAGAATGCTAAGACCATACATTGAGTAAAGAATAGTCTGTTTGAAAAATGGTGCTGGGATAACCAGATATCTATGTGCAAAATAATGAAGCTGGGATTATACCTCACACCATATGCCAAAATTAACTCAAAATGGATCAGTGATTTAATATAAGAGCTAAAATTATAACACTCTTAGAAAACTAATGGACAGAACTCCATGACCTTATATTTAGTATGAGTGCTCAGATGTGACACAAAGAGCATGGGGGAAAAAAAAGAAAATGACACATAAATAAGACATCATCAAAACTGAAAACTTTTGCATATTGAAGGACATTATCAGGAAAGTGAAATAATACCTATTGAATGGGAGAAAATACCATATTTAGATATAAAATGTATATTATTTATATATACATAAGGGATCTAGAATCCAGAATATATAAATAAGTCTTATCACTGAACAACAAAAAGGGAACCCAATTAAAAAGTGTCCAAAAGACTTTAACAGGTAATTTTCCAAAGATGTACAAACTACCAAATAAGCACATGAGAAGACACTCAATATCACAGTCATTGGGGAAATGCAAAGTAAAACTACAGTTAGATATCACTTCACATCTACTTGAATGGCTATATTAAAGAAAGAAAAGAAGAAATAAATACTGTCAAGATTGGAATCCTCATATATTGCTGTTAGGAGTGAAAAATGGTTTAGCCACTTGGAAAGTGTGGCTATTCCTCAAAAGGTTAGACATAAAAATACCATATAACCCAGCAATTCCACTCCAAGTATATTCTCATAAGAATTGAAAGCAGGTACTCAAATACATGTAAAATACAATGAATCTTTCTGAGTTTCTCTTCAAAAGGTTTAGCCTGTTAACTTCCTTACCCTTTGTTCTCAAACTCAACTTTCTCGTTTCTCCTTGCCCCTAGTTACTGTAAACAGTAACTGTGTGCATGATGTGGGCTGCAACTTCCCGTGAGTTCTAATCAGTAACTCACATCTGTTCCCTTGTTTACCTGTACCCATTGTTCCCCTGAAACTGCACGTCTCACACACTCCACCACTGTAACTCACATCCCCCTCCCTTCCATATTAAAAAAAAATACTTATAAGTAGCCAATCGGGTTATCTCAGATTGTGTGGTCTGACCCCAGCCCATGGGGAAGGACACAGACATAGGGATCGCGTTAACGATATAAAAACTCCCTGGTCTCCTTTGTTTGGTGTGCACTTGCGATCTTGATTGACACGAGTGGCACCCTTTTGCAAAAGTAAATTGCCTTGCTGAGGAAACTAAATATATGTTTGAGTGCTGTTTCTTTTGTGGCATCGGAAATTCATTTATAACAATTTTGGTGGCCCGTACAGGGAGCCCATTCTCCTCTGGGGAGGGGTCTCCAGTACTTTCCCGTGTGGAGGCGCGCCCAGTCACCTTGTTGCGGTAGCCTCAAGGTGAGGAATCGAGACCCACCAAGTATGATGAATAAACCCAGACTCTCAGCAATGCAGGAAAGGAACAAACGGGCAGCTTGGGAAAAGGGGGCTCACATACCACAGCGACTAGGTAAACTCTACACAGACCAAGGTAAGAAAAGTCGCAGGGGCGACAAAATATTTCCTTGGTGGTCGGGAGTCTGGAGGTTAAAATGGTGTGAATGGTAACAAGCACTACTGTTGTGAGGAGTGAGTGAGTCCAATATGCAGTTCTGTGGTCACCTCATATGGCTTAGGGCGGCCCTTTGGGGGTCCCATCAGGGGTTTATACTGAGCTGCCATCAATGCTAAGAGGGACCTGAAATACTCCTGCAAGGGAAGCGGCCAGAGCAGACGAAGCAAGAGAAAGGTGCCAGAAATCTCCAGCAGGTGGGACTAAAGGATAGGCAAGAGATTCCTCATGCAAGGGAATTGAGCCTTAATAAGCCTCCATGGAAGGATAGGCAAAACATTCCTCATACAAGGGAAATGAGCCTTAATAAGCCTCCAGGGAAGGATAGGCAAGAGATTTCTAATACAAAAATTGAGCCTAACTAGGACCCAACATGGGAAATACCCCAAGCACAATGGAAAGTAAAAAGGATAAAAATAGCAATAAAGATATTCCCCCAAATTGTCCCCTAGGTCTCATGTTAAAATATTGGAAAAATAATGAGAGAACTAAACATAAGAACAAGCAACAAATGATAAAATATTGCTGTTTTGTTTGGACCCAGAGTCCCCTCCTTAAACCCTCAATCTTCTGGCCAAAATTTGGGTCGAATGAGGATGTAATGTGTCAACTCCTAATTCGACATGTAAATGAAAACAATCCAGTGTCTCAAGAGGAGCTAGACTATGCTCTTTGTTGGAGACAGAGACCTGTCCTCCTCAATCCCTTAAAAAAACTAGGGAAACACCCAATCTAGCACCCCACAATGAAGACTCAGAAAAGCTGGTTCCCATGCCAAAGGACTCCTGTGCATGGGATCCCCATACCACCTTCCCCCACTCAGTGCCCCCAATACTTCCCCTCAGGCAGCTGCCACCCCAGATCCTGCCCCAGATTCTTCCCCTGCCCACGTTATTTCTCCTCCTTACAATCCTGATTCCTGGGAATCATCACCCATGAATCTGTTCCCTCTCAGCCTAAGTGCGCCTCCCTGAAGGGACTCCAACGTGAAGTAGAACAATCTAAAAGAGATATCCAAAATTTCCCATTTCCCTCCACATCTAAGGAGTCAGCTCTGACTCTCTTCCCCTTGAAAGAAGTACCACAAAGTGTGGGGGCTATTGGCTTTGTAAGTGTTCCCTTAACTAGTTCAGAAGTCCAGAATTTAAGGAAGGAACTCAGGCCATTCTTATGTGACCCTTATGGGGTGCAGATCAAGTTAATCAATTCCTGGGACCACACTTTTACACCTGGGTCGAGTTGGTGTCCATTCTAGGCATACTCTTCTCTGGTGAAGAGAGAGAGATGATCTGTAGGGCTGCTATGGCAATTTGGGAGCGTGAACACGCTCCCGATCAAGACGTTCCTACCGCGGATCAAAAGTTTCCTGGCCGAGACCCCCAGTGGGACAATAATAACCCAGCTCACCAAGAAAATATGCAAGACCTAAGGGAAATGATAATAAAGTGAATTAGGGAATCAGTACCCTGAACCCACAACCTTTCCAAAGCACTTGATATACAACAAGAAAGAGATGAGGGGTTTATGAAATTTCTAGACAGACTGAAGGACCAAATGAAACAATATTCAGCCCTAAACTTAGAAGACCCCCTTGGACAAGGACTGTTAAAACTCTACTTCATCATTAAGAGTTGGTTAAATATCTCAAAAACGTTACAAAAATTAAAAAATCGAGAAGACCAACCTCTGAGTGAATTTCTCAGAGAAGCTCAAAAAGTATATGTTAGAAGACATAAAAAGAAACAGGAAAAAAAAGGCAAAACTTATGCTATCCACTTTCTAGCAGGTGGCCCCAAATCCACATACTTCTAAACAAAGCCTCCAGGGGGCCAAAAACTACAAAGGGTCCAGACTGCTGTTGAAAAGACCCAAGCCTCCATCCAGAGGACGCAGGCCCTCATCTACCAGAGTCTCTAAAGAGTATAGGGGAACAAAGACACAAAATCCGAGAGCTGAGAGGGAATAAGGACAAGATAGCTGTTACAGATGTGGAAAGGCAGGCCACTTCAAAAGAGAATGTCCTGAATTAGAAAGAGAGAGAGAAGCCCTGCCCCTCATGACCTTTGAGGGGGGTCAGGGACTCTCTCTTACTTCAAGTCCCACCAGGAGCCCTTGATAAATTTAGATGTTGGACCCAATCATGAACTTATCACCTTTCTAGTTAATTCAGGGGCCACTTGCTCCTCCCTTTGTTTCCCTTCATCTAACATTGCCTGCTCTTCAGAAGACCTTTTAGTCTCTGGGGTAAAAGGGAAGGATTTAAAGCAAAAGTCTCAGAAAGTACAGAAGTTCAATACCAAGAACGATTGACTCATATCCAATTTTTATTGACCCCAGAGGCAGGAACTAACTTATTAGGAAGAGGCTTAATGTTGAAGTTAGGTATAGGCTTACAAGTTAGTCCAAAAGGATTCCTTACCTCATTAAATTTAGTCACCACCGCAAATGAGAAATGTATTCACCCCAATGTCTGGTCCAGAGAAGGAAACCAAGGAAAACTTCACATTCCCCCAATCCACATCAAGCTAAAAACCCCAGAGGAAGTGGTGAGGAGGAAGAAATACCCTGTCCCTTTAGAAGGACGGATCAGGTTAAAGCCCATAATTGAAAGTCTCATAAAAAATGGGCTTCTTGAGCCTTGTATGTCTCCTTATAACACCCCAATACTGCCCATCAAGAAATCAGACAGATCATACCTGTTAGTACAAAATCTTAGAACTGCCAACCAAATAGTCCAAACCACTCACCCCGTTGTCCCTAACCCTTACACTTATTCTCAGTAAAATTCCATATAATCATCAATGGTTTACTGTAATAGACTTAAAAGATGCTTTTTGGGCATGACCCCTAGCTGAAAATAGCCAAGACATATTCGCCTTTGAGTGGGAAGACCTCCAGTAAGGGTGAAAACAACAGTATCAGTGAACAGTTTTGCCCCAAGGGTTCACAGACACACCCAACCTGTTTAGTCAGAGTCTAGAATAAATGCTAGAAAAGGTTTCTGTTCCAAATCACATATGCATGCTCCAGTATGTTGATAATATACTCATATCAGGAGAGGATGTAGAAAAAGTAACCAGTTTTTCCATATGTACCCTTGATCATCTACATTCTGAGAGGTTATGAGTCTCAAAGAAAAAGCTTCAGTATGTAGAACCTGAGGTCAAATATTTAGGCCATTTAATAAGTGCAGGCAAGTGGAGAATAGGGCTGGAGCGAGTTGAAGGCATCGTGTCTTTACCCTTGCCTCAAACTAAGCATGAGCTCAGAAAGTTTCTAGGATTAGTTGGATACTGCTGCTTATGGATTGACTCATATACCTTACACAGTAAGCTGCTATACCAGAAGCTTACTCAAGAAAATTCTGACCATCTCTTGTGAACTTCTGAGGAAGTCGACCAAATTGAGGAACTGAAAGAAAGACTTATGACTGCCCCAGTTTTAGCTTTGCCTTCTCTAGAAAAGCTCTTTCATCTTTTTGTCGATGTAAATAATGGAGTGGCTATAGGAATGCTTACCCAAGAACTCAGTGGCCACCAGCAGCCTGTGGCCTTCTTATCAAATGTTTTAGACCCTATTACCTGTGAGTGGCCTCAACGCATTCAATCTGTTGCCACTATGGCAATATTAGTTGAAGAAAGCAGAAAGTTAACTTTTAAGGGAACTGTAAGCACACCCCACCAAGTTAAAGCAATACTAAATCAAAAAGCTGGGAGGTGGCTTGCTGACTCCAGAATCCTGAAATACAAGGCTATTTTGCTAGAAAAAGATGATTTAACTTTAACTACTAATAATTCACTCAACCCAGCAGGTTTCTTAACAGGAGATCCAAATCTAAAGAAGGAGCACTTATGTCTAAATTTAATTGACTACCAAAGGTCAGACCAGACCTAGGGGAGACCCCCTTCAAAACAGGACGACACTTATTCATACATGGTTCCTCCAGGGTAATTGAAGGAAAAAGACACAACAGGTATTCAGTAATCGATGGGGAAACTCTTAAAGAATTAGAGTCAGGTAAATTGCATAATAATTGGTCTGCCCAAACTTTTGAGTTGTTTGCACTTCTCAATAAATGTTAATAAATCTATGTTTTCCTTAAACTATTGGGTTAGAGACCTATTACTATTCATGATAGTGATATATGATTCATTAGAGCTTGAGTTTTTGAGGTAAATACAAAAGTACATTTAAATTTCTTACTCCAGACAAAGAAGACTATATGTCTAAGAAAGGAAAGGCAAAAAATACAGATTCATATTTATTCACATTGAATTGTGCATAAAACATAACTTTCAATAATGGTGAAAATAACAGAACAGCTTTGTTATGTGCCTTGATCTATACAGAGTTTAAAAAATAGTTCTACATGACTATAGGGTATCTTCAGAAGTGGCGGTATATTAATCTTTGAAAATTCTCTTCTCCATAAGCAATAAGCAAATGTCAAAATTTCTCAGAATCAACTTTTTCATAACTCTGGAAATTCAAAGGCTTGCAGCCACCCAGATAACATTTATTCAAGACAAACAGCTAAATCTCAGTAAGGACAGTAAACTTTGTGGTATTTTAATTTGTCCTAGCCTATCTATCACTCTCCAGATCTACAATGTCCTTGAAAAATAACAGCCTGCATTTCTAGTGCAGCCTGGTAAGCATTGGAGGAAGCACAAGTATGGAACTCTTTGAAAGCCTCACCCTAAAAGAACTGACATTAATTTGACCTGATTGGTCATTCTCCAGAAGACTCCACTTGCAAGAATGCTTGTATTAGATTGACTCAGAACTAGAATGTGTATACAAAAAGCTTTTCTTCTCAGGATCCTTTGTAAAAAACAATTTACAGGCAGGTGTTTTAAATTTTCAGCTGCCTGAGGCAATGGATAACAGTTTGAACAAACAACAGCCAGACCAAAATATTTAACACAAGGCACTGGGGAGTGAGATATTCATAGAAGCTTTGAAAACCTAAACTCTGAAAGGCAACAAGGATGTGTAGAGCTGTCCACACGCACAGAAGATACCTGAGACCAAGAGAAGGCCCTAAACTCTTATCTCTGGCTGACCTTGAAGCTCTGAGCAAGCAAGTGGTGAAGGCTAAGAAGATTTTCAACTGTTTGGTTCAATGTTGAAGATATGACAGAGTAGGCACACAGAGCCCATTGGGAGGCTTGTTGGCACCAGACATTTAAAATAAGCTCTGTCTAATTATTAGCTGACCACGAATCTGAGTAGAGACTTCAGTGACTGCACACAACAATGGATACAGACTTTGCAGAATGATTTGAGGAAAGCTTCTAAACAAACAACTATTAATAACAAGCAGAAGTCATAGTAATCCTTAAGAGGAAGGAAGAATCTGACTTCCAGAGTTGCTGTATGATATCATTTGGAATGTTCTATTTTCAGCAAAATTTATGAGACATACAGAAAAATTATGGTCCATACACAAGAAAGAAACAAGCAATAGAAACTTTCCCCTAGGAATCCTAAATGTTGATCTTGCTAGACAAAGACATGAAATCGATTTTAAATATATTCAAAGACCTAAACAAACCATGTCTAAATAATTAAAAGAAAGTATGAAAATGATGACTTACCAAATAGAGAATATCAAGAAAAGAATAGACATTATAAAAAATAATCAAAAAAGAAATTCTGGGGCTAAAAAGTATAATAACTCAAAGAAAAAATTAACTAGAAAGGCTCCACAACAGCTTTGAGCAGGCAGAAGAGAAGCAGTGAATGTATTTATTTATTTAAATAAAAATATGCTTCCCCATTTCTTTTTTTAAATGAACTTTTATTGTAGATCTTGGGGGCACATGTGTAAGTTAGTTCCAAAGGTATATTGCACAGTGTTGGGGTTTGGAGTATGATTGAACCTGTCAATCATGAAGTGGGCATATTATCCAATAGGTAGTTTTTCAACCCTGGTCTCCCTCCCTTCCTCCCTTCCCATTCTTGCATTCCCTGGGGCCTGTTGTTCCTATCTTTATGTCCCTGTGTACCCAATATTTAGCTCCCAACTGTAAGAGAATATGCAGTATTTGTTGCTTTTGTTTCAAAGCAAAGAAAGAATTTAAAGAGACATCAGTTGAAGAAATTTAGGTGAGGAATGGAAAAAATGACAATTTCACAGACCTGTGACACACAATCAGACTTACAAACATACAATGGGAGTCCCAAAAGAAAGGGAGGAGATAAAAAGGCATAAAGAATATTTGAAGAAATAAGGTCTGAAAACGTCCACATTTGATGAAAAACAATAATCTACACACTTAAGAGGCTCAAATAACTCTAAGAAGGATAAAATCAAGTCATCCATACCTAACGCATAGTAATGAAACTGTCAAAAGCCAGAGATACATAATCTTGAAAGTAGCAAGAAGGAAGCAACTCATTATTTGTAGAAGATCCTCAGTAAGATTCAAAGATGATTTAATCGTATACCATGGAATCTAGAGATAATTGGGTGCCATACTCAAAGTGCTGAAAAATAAACTATGTCAACCAAAAATTCAACATCTTGCAAAACTTTCCTTCAAAAATGATAATAATGATATCTTCATATAAACAACAAAAAAGAAATTTGTGTCTTGCAGACTTACCCTATAAGGTATACTAAAGAAAGTCCTTCAAGTTGAAATGAAAGGATACTTGAGAGTAACTAAAATCCACATGAAGAAATAAAGACAGGAGATAATGGTAAATGTGTAGGTAATGCAATTTATAGTATAAATACATTTTTGTTTGTAATGCTTTTTATTTTATCTGATTTAAAAGACAATTTCAAAAGCATTGATTATAAATATATTTTGGGTGGTGTATAAATATGTATTTTATTTGGCAATAAAATCCAAAGGAGAGGAGGAGAGAGAAATAGGGCTCTATAAGAGCAAAATTGTTGTATACAACTGAAATTAAGTTGGTATTAATCTGAACTATATTGTTATAAATTAATGTGTTAATTTTAATTCTCAGGGGACCTATTACAAAAATATTCAAAAATATATGTTAAAAGAAGTAATGAGGGAATTATTATGGTGTACTAGAAAATATCTATTTGACCAAAAAAAAAGAGTTATAAATGAATAGAAGGAAAATATCTTAAACACATACCAAAAAAAAAGCAAAATGATAGAGTTAAATCTTACCTCATCAGCAATTGTGTTATATGTCAATCAGTAATTTGAACTCACCAATCAAGAGGAAGAGATTAGAAAAATAAATAAATAAAATCCAGCTATATGCTCTCTATAAGAAATAGAATTTAAATTCAGACACAAATAGGTTGAAAGTAAAAGAATGGAAAAAGATTATTTCATGCAAATTGTCAAAAAAAAAAAAAAAAGAGAAAGAGAAAAAGCAAAGAAAAAAAGAAGAAACAGCTACACCAAACACCAATGCAATTATCTGAATGCTTGTGTCTCCTCACAATTAATATGTTGAAACTTAATCCCCAGTGTGATAGTATTAAGAGGCAGGGCCTTTTAGGAAGGACTTTCCCTTATGAATGAAATTATGTAACATGATGTTTATAAGATCTATCCAGGTTTAGCATTATTAGTAATTCATTCCATTTTATTGACTGAAATCCTATTGAATGAACAAGCAACATTATATTAATCTGTTCAGCAGTTGATGGACATTTGAGCTGTTTCCACCTTTTGGATATTATGAATAATCATGCTGTAAACATTTGTGTTCAAGTTCTTAAATGAACATATGTTGTCATTTCTCTTGGGTATATATCTAGGAGTGGAATTTTGGGGCAATATGACAAACTATTTTTCATCTTTTTGAGGAACTTCCAGACTAATTTCCAAAGGAACTGTGCCATTTAACATTCCCATCATCAGTGTTTGAAGAGTTCGGATTCTTCTAATCCTTGCCAATACTTATTTTCCATTTTATTGATTATTTATAGTGCTTGTGAAGCAATATCTCATTACGGTTTTGGATTTTGTTTCTCTAATGCCTAATGACTAATGATCTAATTAGTAATGATCTTGAGCATCTTTTCATGGGGTCATTAGTCATTGATATTATACCACCTTTGGAGAAATATGTGTTGAAGTACTTTACCCATTTTTGTAGGCTTATTTTTCTTTTTTGTTGACTTGTAACAACTCTTTATATATTTCTGCTTTGCTAATTGTTTTCTGTATTTTTTAAATGTAGATTCTTTCTTTCTTCCTCTCTCACCATCTCCCTTTGTGATTATGTTTTCTGTCATAATATTGTTATAGTTTGAATGTGTTCCCCAAATTTCCTGTTTTGGGAATGAAATTCCAAAATTTATATGTTGATGGTTTTTGGAGGTCATGCCTTTGGATGGTAATTAGGATTAGGTGAGGTCATCAGGATGGATTCTCCATGACAGTATTAGTGGCTTTATAAGAAGAAGCAGAGACCTGAACTAGTGTGCTTGCTCTGTCTCTCAATGTGATGCCTCCTGCCACGTCATGATGCACAGAAAGGACCTCACCAGATGCCAGCATCATATTCTAGGACTTCTCAAGCCTCCAGCACCATGAGTTCAATAAACCTCTCTTATTCATTACCCAGTCTATGGTATTCTGTTACAGCAACAGAAAAAGGATTAAAACAGATATGCTTTAATGTCTTACTTTTTAACATTTTGTGTATCCACTCTTGGTTTTTGATTTGTGGTTACCGTGAGGCTTACATAAAACATCATCTAGTTATAATAGCCTATTTTAAGCTGGTAACAACTTAACTTTGATTGCATTAAAACCCTACCTTTTTATTCCCCCTACATATGTTTTTGATGCCACAGTTTACATTCTTTTATATTGTGTTCCTCTTAACAAATTATTATAGCTATTATTTTTTTGTAGGTTTTCTCTTTTAACCTTCTTAATAAAGAGATACATAATTTGCACACCACCATCGCTGTATTCCAGTATTCCTAATTTGACTGCGTACTTACTCTTGTCAGTGAGTTTTATACTTCTCTGTATTTTTATGTTACTAATTAGCATCTTTATTTTTTCATCCTGAGGAATTTCCTTTAGTATTTCTTACAAGGTTGGGCTAGTGGTGATAAACTCATTCAGGTTTGCTTGTATGGTAAAGTCTTTATCTCTTCTTTATTTCTGAAGTATAGCTTTGCCTAGTGAAGTATTCCTGGTTGACAGGTTTTGTTTATTGTTTTTTTTCTTTCTGGCAGTGCTCTGAACACATCATCTCATTATTTTCCTGGCCTGCTGCTGAGAAATCTGATAGGCAACGTGGATTTCTTTTGTGTGTGATGTGCTTCCTTTCTCTTGCTACTTTTTGGATCTTCTCTTTAATTTTTGACAGTTTGATTATAATAAGTCTTGATTTAGTATTGTTTGGATTGGATTTGATTGGATAATCTCGAGTTTCATCTACTTTGATTTACATCTTTCTCCAAATTTGGGAAGTATTTGTCATTATTTATCTAAATAAGCTCTTTCCCCTCTCTATTTCTGTGCTTTATGAGCATACCCATAATACTTTCTTGAACCATCATTATGCTAGATTTGATAACACATTCACAATCATAAGCTGAGGACCAACTGGAAGATTATATTTTCCTAATGCAGAGACTATCACTATAATTTTTCAAACTAAAACATAGAAAGAAAATAATTTAAAAAGCAGAGGAGAATTTCAGATCCTGGGAAACTATAAAATGACCTAATCTAATATAACCAGACTCACAATATGAGGAGAAGAGAAAATAAGATAGGGAAATATATAAAGAGAAAATATTTGAGAGTTTTAAAAATGGATAAAAGATATAAATTCACAAACCCAGAAAACACTTCACATTCTGAGATAACCAATATAAAGGAATTGCACATCTAGGCATATCACAATCAAACTGTTGATAACTAAAGATAAAGAGAAATTATTTAAAACAAGCCCAGAAAAAATTTGGGGGGGAACAACATGAAGAGTGATGTTAGAAGTAACAGAAGGCAAAATCTAGTTCTCATTAGAAGCAACGGAAGGCAAAATCACTGGGATGAAATGCTTAAGATACCAGGAAAAAAATACCTGTTAATGTAGAATGTTATAGCCATCAGGAATGCACTTCAGAAATGAAGACAATATTAAAAACAATTTTTATAAGCTAAGAGCAGAGAGAATTTCTCTGTGTAAATATAAGACCTGTAAAAATTGATACTGAAATTAAGTAAATAAAATAGCAACGTAACATTTTGTGATAGAGATGTAGATACAGTAATAAATCCCATACAATGAAATATTCAACACTAAAAGGAAATGGGCTATCAAGTCATGAAAAAAAGTGAAAGAACCTTAAATTTCTTTTCTTTTTTGTTTTTTTGAAATGTAGTCTCATTCTGTTGCCCAGGCTGGAGTGTTGGCATGATCTTGGCTCACTGCAACCTCTGCCTCCCAGGTTCAAGTGATTCTCCTGCCTCAGCCTCCCAAGTAGCTGGGATTTCAGGTGCCCACCACCACTCCTGGCTAATTTTTGTATTTTTAGTAGAGATGGGGTTTCACCATTTTGACCAGGCTAGTCTCAAACTCCTGACCTCAGGTGATCCTCCCACCTCAGCCTCCCAAAGTGCTGGGATTACAGGTGTGAGCCACTGCACCTGGCCAGGAACCTTAAATTTCTAAGTGAAAGGAGCCAAAATGAAAAGGCTATACTACTGGTGATTCCATTATTACATTCTGAAAGAGGCTAAATTATGGAAACAGTAAAAAAAATCAGTGCTCAGAGAGAAGAGAGGGATGCATAATTGGAGCACAGCAAGAAAACAATTTTGATTGGCACTATAATGATAGATGCACATCATTACACTTGTCAAAACTCATAGAATGCACAACACAAAGAGTCACCCCTAATGTAAGCTATGGATTTGGTTGTTAAGGATGTATCCATGTGTACAATGTTCACGGATTTTAACAAATGTACCTTACTGATATAGGATGTTGACAGTGGGAGATGCTGTGCATGTGGGGTTAAGGATATGTGACCTTAACCCCAGTTTTCCACTGGGTATTTTTCTGAACCTAGAACAGCCCTAAAAAAGCCTATTAATTATACATATATGTATATATGTAAAATATGTGGCTATAAAAATTAAATTAAATTAAATTGAATTATCTTATTGCAATATTCTTACTTTGTTTATTATGGGTATGTGGAATGCAATATGTTGAAGATATATAATATAATCTCTAAACATTAAAAACCCCCAAAAGAACAAATAGTATATTCAAAAATTAACGAGACCAGGTGAAATTAAATTTAAAGCAGCTTCCATTATCCAAAAGAGGTAAGAAAGTAAAAATAAAAGACCAGACAACTAGTAGGAAAACAATAGAAAACTGCTAGCAGGTGAGAGACATAAACTTAACATGTCTGTAATTACTGTAAGGAAATGGACCTAATACTTCAATTAAAGTCAGGTTCATCATACTGAATTTAAAAATCTGTATGTTATTTATACACAAACACACACACACAAACTTTAAGGATATGCCTTTAAAGTGAAATATTTTTTTAAAATATCCCAAGCAGATTCTAATTATTTTTTTAAAAATCTGGCTATGGAAGTGATAGATAAAATAAGCTTAATGGCAAAAAGCCAGTATGGGCAAAGAGTGACATTATAATGACATAAGTTCACTTCATCAGGAAGACAAAACCTCCCTAAATGAGTTTTAAAAAAATAACTTATCTTCAAAATATGATAATTAAAAATTGATAAAACACAAAGGAAAAATAGAAAAGTATTCTTAGTTGGACATAATAAAAGAACAAGAATTAATAAGGATATAAAATATTTGAAAATGTATTATCCAACTTGATCTAGTTGACATTTAAAGAATAATATAATCCACAGCTAAATAGTCTGCATTCTTTTAAAGTTTGCATTCTTTTAAAGTTCGAAACATTCAATGTAATGAACCATATAATGGGCAATGAATTTTCTCTTAGTGAATTGCAATGACTTGAAATTATTCAAAATACAATCTATGATCACAATGGAATTGAGTTAGACATCAATAAAAAAGTAATTAATACATGCTTAAATATGTGGCATTTAAATAACACCAATAAACATGTGGGGCAAAAAGAAATCATGATGAAAATTAGAAAACATTTAGAATTGAATATTAATGAAAGTAAAGTATATCAAAATAAAGTATAAGAATACAATGGTGAAGTTAAAGCAATGAATAGATAGAAATTTGGAAATACATGGAAATTTGTAGTTTAAAGGCATAGGTTAAAAGAAGAAATGTTTAAAATAAATAATATAAACTTCCAATCTTAGAAGCTAGAAAAGGAACATTATGCCCAAAGTAGAAAAAAGGAAAAGAACCCAAGAACAAAATCAACAAAGCAGAAAACATACAACAGAAAAAAATAAAGAAATCCAAAACCGAGTTCCTGTAAAACTTAATAAAAATTATACATTCCAAGACCTATTTACCCAGTATAAAGAGAAACATCACAAATTATCAACATTGAGAATGGAAGAAGAGATATGTCTGCAGGTGCTATAGACCTTAAAAAGTTGCTAGAGGAGAGGAAGTCATTATGAACAACTTTTGTCAATAATTTAACAACCCCAAAGAAATGGACAAATTCCTTCAGAAACATAACTTTCTCAAACCAACACGAAAAGAAAAAAATATGAATATTTTAAAGAAATTAGATAAAAAAGTAAATAAATCTTCTCATGAAGAAAACTCCAGGTCATAATCACTCCATTTCTAAATGCTAAGAAACATTAAAAGAATAAATATTCACAGCATTACACTATTTCAAAGATTAAACGAAGAGATAACATTTCTTAATTTCTTTTATGAGGGCAGCATGTCTTGATATAAAAGTTGGTAAGTTCATTACAATGAAGGAACATTACAGACAACACAACAACACAACAAGGCATTGATGTGTACGAAGTGGAATTTTCATATACTTCTGGTGAGAGTATAAATTAGTACAGTCTTGGAAAACTTGTCGGAAGTATCTACCAACACATACCCTGTGATCCGACAACTTCACTCTAGAAATATACACAGTAGAAATCCTTACTTATTACACCAAAAGGCATGTAGAAGAATGTTTATAGCTAAATATTATTTTTAATAGCTGGAACAATAAACAAACAAAATATTCATTAACAGTAAAATGGAAACACAAGTGGTGTTATATTTAATGAATTTGTAATATACACCAATGAGGATAAAACAGAACTATTGCTTTGTATGAACCTTACAATCATCCTATTAAAAGAACCCAGACATGAAAGAGTAGATGGTGATTGCTTCTACTTGCGAAAAGTTCAAAAACAGACAAAACGAATCTTTGGTTGTTTAGAAGTCATGGTTGTGAGGTTGGAATCTGGGGATTTGGGTGGTTCTTTTTCATTTCTTCATCGTGGTACTAGTTACGCTGTTTTTTTTTTCCACTTGAATATTAATTGACCTGTGAACTTATGATTTATTATATACTTTTTTTCGTTTTTTGTTTCGTTCTTTTTTTTTTTTTTTTTTTTTTTTTTGACGGAATTTCGCTCTCTCACCCAGGCTGGAGTGCAGTGGTAAGGTCTTTCTGCTCACTGCAACCTCTGCCTCCTAGGTTCAAGCGATTCTCCTGCCTCAGCTTCCCGAGTAGCTGGGATTTCAGGCACCCGCCACCATGCCTGGCTAATTTTTTTTTGTATTTTTAGTACAGACGGGGTTTCACCATGTTGCGGAAACTGGTCTCGAACTCCTGATACGTGTTTATATATATTCAATTGAAATTTTACTTAAGAAGTGTTTATAAATCTTCCTGTTCCTCAGCTGTTGGAAGTGATTTTGTTGTTGCTGTTGCCTTAATTAGGCATCACGTCCAGTGGAGTGCTTGTCCTGCAAGAGACAGGGCTCAGGAGCTCGCACGTTCCACAGCGCACCACACCCAACCTCAGCCCACCTGGGCTCTCCCAGCCGCCTACCTCTTCCAGGCTGCGTGGCCGGGGCGTCATCTCGCGCTTCCAACTGCCCTGTAACCACCAACTGCCATTATTCCGGCTGGGACCCAGGACTTCAAGCCATGTGGCGCGTCTTGTTTCTGCTCAGCGGGCTCGGCGGGCTGCGGATGGACAGTAGTAAGCAGAAAAACCCCTCCTCTGGCCTTTTGGGACCCTCAGCGCTACTCTCCCTTTGCCTCCAAGTTACATTGACATCCCTGGGAGGATGCTTTCCTGAGGGGTTTCCAACTCAGCAATTCCAAGCTCATCCCCGACATTGCCGCCTTCCCCACCCAAAATCCACGTAGAATAAGGGCTTTCCCACACGTCCTGGAAACCTAGGAAAGATAAGATAGGAGGTCCTAGGCCTTAAGAGGTTGCTTCAAAATTGTAGTTTCAGATCCTGCTTTGCATTTTTCACGACAGTGAAAGTTGAGACCCAACTTCTGTACTCTCTAGTTGAAGAGTCCAGAGTGAGTTAATTTGTCCTGAGGGGCTTGAACCTATTGACCCAAGGTTACCAGATCCTACCTACAGGGCAATACTCCTAAAGCAATACACCTACTTCTTTTTTAAAAAAATATGGCCGGGCACGGTGGCTCATGCCTGTAATCCCAGCACTTTGGGAGGCTGAGGAAGGCGTATCACGAGGTCAGGAGATCGAGACCATCCCGGCCAACATGGTGAAATCCCCCTCTACTAAAAATATAGAAAATTAGCTGGGGGTGGTAGTGCGTGCCTGTAGTCCCAGCTGCTGGGGAGGCTGAGGCAGGGGAATCGCTTGAAACCGGGAGGCGGAGGTTGCAGTGAGCAGAGATCTCACCACTGCACTCCAGCCTGGGCCTGGGCGACAGAGTGAGACTTCGTCTCAAAAACAAAAAAAAAAACAGAAAAACAGAAAAAAAAACCTCCTTGTATTTTTAGAAAGAAATGGGAAGATAATAAAAATGAGAAGCAGCGTATAGAATAGAGATTAGAGATTTAGATGAAAAACTCATAAAACACGCTCTGAAATGATGGGCATTGTTCTAATAAAACATTTTGCACATTTTGCAGATTTTGATAGTTTACCTGTGCAAATTACAGTTCCGGAGAAAATACGGTCAATAATAAAGGAAGGAATTGAATCGCAGGTAATGAATCACTAACAGTATTTACAAATTTAAAATGATGTAAAGATTTTGTTTCTAAGAAGTTAATCTGCCATTTTTCATTCATGCACACCTGTTGAATTTTATATTTATACCAAATTTTCCCTGAATGGAAAAGCCCTTTTGAAAATGAACCAGGATCAACAATGTTTCACAGAAATAATGGTGCAGTGATGCTGGTTATCAAAGCCCCAAGTCCATTTTCTGAATCTGTCTTCCTCTTGGATGTCTTTGAATAATCATTGGCTTGATTGTTCTAGAGATTCTGTTCTCACTCACCGTTCAGGCTGTATTTGGAGGAATTTTTTGTCATTGTTGCTAAGTAAGCCTTGGCTTGCTTATATGGGATGATGATCACTTGAATTAATGATGTGTTATATTAATGATTTTTTTAGCCCTGATTGCGAATATGTTAATGATTAGAACTCTTTCTTTCATGCTATTTTAGATTATTTTAGTTCAGAATTATTACTCTCTTTTTAAAATTTGAATTTAAAATCTTCTTATCATTTTCACTAAGTTCTAGAATCCATTTCTGAAGTGGAATGTGGTTTCTTGAGACATCAATTTTTTTTTTTTGGTTTGGTAGCAGATGTTCTGGTAATTTAAATGCAAACATTTCCTTAGCATATATCCATTTGTCATCCTAATACAGACATTATAGCTTAAGATGTTATTTAAATCATTTTTAAAGGAATGCATATCTATATATCTATTACTAAAACAAATCATTTAAATAGAAAAAAGCAGTGAGGCTTTTAACAATATTTTATGAAACATTTTTAATGTAAAATTATTATGGAGATGTTAATAATAGTAGAAAATAAGCAGAGAATCTATTTGGAGAGAAGTATTTCAAACAAGAATAACTTGATTGTTATAAGATAGTTATTTGCAATAAGTAAAAAAAAATGCCCATTTTCAACTGTCAAATTCATGAGGAAAAAATTGTCTATTTTGTTAATGTCTGTATTCTTCTTGCCTAGAACAGTGTCAGATACAAATGCTATGTGTATTTATGCTTTTGTGCACTAATCAGGCTCATTATTTTCTCATTTGTAAATGAGAAACTTGGAATAGCTGGTCATCAAAAAGTTCCTTTTTGATTTTGTGGTTACCAAAACCAAAACAAAGCACCACCACCAACAAAAAAATAGTGCAAGGGATAATTGTTGACCGTCAGTTGCTTAGGGAGTTAATGGGAGTTAAGGAGTTAAAGGGAGTTAAATACACAATTAGCATAATAGCCTAGTTTATTTTTAAAATACTGTAATGAATTAACAGTATTTTTAAAACAAACTAGGCTATTATGCTAATTAATTCAACAAATACTATAAACATAATATGAAACTATATATTTTGAATTATTACAGTTAATAAAGGCTAGAAACCATAAGATTATTCAACCTAAAATTACTAGATTTTTTTTTTTTTTTGAGACGGAGTCTTGCTTGTTGCCCAGGCTGGAGTGCAGTGGCGCAACCTCGGCTCACTGCAAGCTCCGCCTCCCAGGTTCACAGCATTCTCCTGCCTCAGCCTCCTGAGTAGCTGGGACTACAGGCACCTGCCACCAAGCCCAGCTAGTTTTTTTGTATTTTTAGTAGAGACGGGGTTTCACCGTTGGTCAGGATGGTCTCGATCTCCTGACCTCCTGATCCACCTGCCTCGGCCTCCCAAAGTTCTGGGATTACAGGCGTGAGCCACCGCACATGGCCTAAAATTACTAGATTTTTAAAAATAATTGAATGTAACTTCTAAAAGTGGGAAATGCAGTATGAAAATATAAAAGTCAGGAATTTAGAGTAGAACAGAGACAGCTGAAAAGATGAAATGCAACATGTGAAAGGCTAAGAGAAAAGGACAGAATTAGAAGCTTAAGCATAGAGTGATTGGCATTCCTGAAATAGGGGAGAAAAGAAGAAGAGGTAATAGTAAACATATTTTAATAAGAAATGGCTTTATAAAGTCGAATCTTCAGAACAGGTGTCCCAAATCCAAAGCAGAGTTTATTTGTTGAAGTCCTAACCCCTGGTGCCTCAGAACGTAAGCATATTTGGAGGCAGAGTCTATAAAGACGTAATTAAATTAAAATGAGTTTACTAGAATAGTAATTAATAGTAAGTTACAGCTCTAATACCATATGACTGGTGTCCTTGCAAGAACAAGGAATCTGAGCACAGACACATGTGGATATGAAGACACCAGGAGACCCAGAAAAAGCATTCCACAAAGTCTAACATCCTTTCTTGGTTAAAAACTCTTAACAGTTTAGGTATAGAAGGAAGGTACCTGAATATAATTAAGGCCAGTTATGAAAAACCCTTAGTTAACATCATAATTAGTGGAAAGGGACTAAAACCTTTTTTTTTTTTTTTTTTTTTTTTTGATGGAGTCTTGCCCTGTCGCCCAGGCTGGAGGGCAATGGTGTGATCTTGGCTCACTGCAACCTCCGCCTCCCAAGGTTCAAGTGATTCTCCTGTCTCGGCCTCCCCAGTATCTGGGATTACAGGCAACCGCCCCATGCCCGGCTAATTTTTTGCATCTTTTAGTAGAGATGGGGTTTCACCATGTTGGTCAGGCTGGTCTCAAAATCTTGACCTCATGATCCGCCTGCCTTGGCTTCCCAAAGTGCTGGGATAATAGGCGTGAGGTTTTCCTTTAAGATGTGGTACAAGACAAGGATTCCCACTCTCAACATAGTACTGATAGTACTAACTATCAAGGGCAGAGGTAAAGATATAAACAGCATCCAAAATCAGAAGGAAGTCAAATATCTTTATTAGCACATGACATGATCCCATATATAGAAAACCCCAGACTCCACCATAAATCTCTTAGATCAAACAGAATTCAATAAAGTTGCAGGTCATAAAATCAACATACACATTTCAAAATAAACAAATAAAGTATATATATTATTTTATTCATTATTTTGATTATGAAATCTAGAATTATAATGTCAAATGCCATTAAAATAAATCAGCATTAAATTCTATTTTTTCTCCTTTTATTAAATGAATGTGTTTTAGAATGCAATTATCATTAATGTAAAATGATGGTTATCCCTTCTAACATTTTTTTTCATTTTCTTTGTATTTTTACTGTGCTCTCCTGCCAGGCATCCTACAAAATTGTAATTGAAGGGAAACCATATACTGTGAATTTAATGCAAAAGTAGGTAATCATCATTATTTTATCAATTCTCTTTGTTCTACTTATAATTTTTGCTTGAAATTGTCCAGAATGTAATTATTTTGTATTTGAAAATATTTCTAGCTTCTTGCCATTCATTCATCCCTTATCATATGATTTAAGCCTATATATGATACATACCTAGAACTTGAATTCAGAGTGTATGTGCCCCTCCTTCTTGTTCCCAGTAGCACCAAATTTTTATTTGGTGATCCAAGAGGTTTCATAAAGGATGAATTTTGATAATTTTCTATCTCTCATAAAAATATATATGGCTTATTTTTAAGTTCTTTTATATTCAAGGTATATTTCAAAGAACATAGCAGATTGCTGGATGTCATGAATCATGACACATTTTAAACTAGTTTACATACTTTATCAAAACTTATTAAGGACTTAAGTTAAAATTAAATAAAATTTGTAATTAGCCAAATTCAATCTCAGGCCAGTTGATGAATTTGGGGAAAACAAGCACAATATACTAAGAAATAAAGAAAAGTGAAAATTGAAATGATTCTTCTAGTGATAAGAACAGATTTCTACAAATTATCAAAAGCAGAAGCCTGCAAATGAAATTACCAAATCAATACAAAAATCAAAAACGCATCCATATCATTTCTAGAATTCATAGCTGCACTCTTTTTATACATCATAAATTTTGGAAAATGTTTTCTATTTATAAGATGGACGGTACTAGTTTGAAGAAATAACATTAAAAAAAGACTCAAAATTACTTTTTTCTGAAGAAAAAAAGTGCTGCCTTCTGCAAGAAATACATAGAGCAAACTGACATAGAATCCCAACAGTTGTTACTTTAGAATGTCAAGTTATGAGACTGAGAGCAAGTCAGTGACCAGTAGTAAAGCATCCTCTGAAATTACTTTCTGCATCACAGATACAGTATTTATAAATGTTTAATATAGATCAAAATATGTAAAGTATGATTAGACATATAAGAATATCTGAATTAAAATGTAAGCATAACAGTAGATTTCTTAAGCTTTTTTCTATTAGAAAAAATGTATAGAATATACAGTACAATTTATGGTGATGTAATGGATGAATCACATACTATATACCTTACATACATATAATGTGGTTATTTTCTTGCACACAAGCGGTGAAAAGGTACTTAAGAAAAAAAATCACATACTAAAATAAAAAAATCTTTTGAATAGTAACCATATCCTCAGTGACTAGCACAATAAAATTAGAATGTAATTACAAAGCCTTCATCAGAGAATCACCAGATATTTGTAAATTCAAGAGCAGTTGCCAAAAAACTCTTGGCTCAAAAACATTCAAAACGTTATTGTAAAATATCAATAAAGTAGTAAGAAATAGAATATTACAAATCAAACATTTTAGAAATGAATAACCAAATGTATAATAAAGTAAAATTCAAAGCTTTCATTGTTTTTACATTTTACCTGCATCAGATGAGAATAAAGTGTATAATATTATGGGATGGGACAGCATAAAGTGTTGTTGGGTAGTCCACACTGGTGGAGTACTGAAGCCTTTAGTGGCTATTGTTATTGGTCTATGTCAAGCCCTGTCAGTCCCTACCCAGGCTATCTTGGTAACTAGTTAGTTTCAGGCATGGCCAACAGTTTATAGACACTCAGGGTGATAACGATATTTACTTTCAAAAGACAACGAGGCCTGGACTGTATGCAGAGCTAGCACCAAACTGTGCATTTTCCTGGCAACATGACCATTTCTGAGGGCTTTCAAATATACAAAATAAGGACACCAGGAACCAATTTTATGACATTGCACAAGGTGTCCTTGAGAAACCTGAGAAGAGATCCAGATTAGTAGGATATTTAGAGTAACACCAAGCCAATGAGTACTTCTGATATCTTTTAAGATGCTGTAGTTTGTCTATGACATGGTAGTCATTGATTTCTTTTTGTTTATATCTCTAAGGACTCTGAATTTTCAATTTGAGAATTAACATCCTTGCATGAATCATGGAGATTCTTATCAATTTTTAAGTTTAATTGTTGCTTTTTCTCACTCTGCTAACCTTTCCTGGGATGCTTTTAAATGTATATTTAAAATTGGGGCCTCTTAATATAAATTTTAGTGAATCAAGTTAGCAATTTTTGACTCACTTATCTATCACATATTTCTATGTACTCATTCACATTTCCTGTTATTCCTGATTTCGTGCTTTATTCTCGATGATTTCCATTTTACTCTTTATGTATGTCTAATCTACTCTTCAAGAATATTTTTCAATGACTATATTTTTCATGGTTAGGATTTCTGTACAAAGTGACACATTTGTGCTTTGTAAATCTTTTATGGCTTTTTATCTCTGTTTTTTATCTGTTTCAACGTTAAAACCTCTTTATTCTTAAGTTTCATAATTTACTTGATTATTGCTATTTTTCTACATGATTTCTCCCAATTTTCAAGCTTTGGACTTTTCCATATGTTTGGAACTATCATTGATGAGCTCGTTTGAGTGAACTTTATCTTCCACCATCCTCTAATCTTTTTTGTGTTGTGGAGGCCTCTCTTCAGGGGTGGTTTTATGGATGCTTTTGCTTGTTTCCTGCCATGACAATTAGCTGGGTCAAAAGTTTACACTTTATCAGCTCAGGGTTCCATAATAATAGGGCTGCTTGGAATCCATTTCACATCTGCCTGAGATATAGTTTAGAGTTTTCATTTCTGCATGTGATGCTATTTCTGCCTCAGTCAGTATTGGGTAGCATCCTTTTGTCCAGGGTCTCTGTACAGCAGGTGTCTTAGTCTGTTTGGGCTGCTGTAACAAAATATTAATACCATAGACTGGGTAGCTTACAAATAACAGAGATTTATTTCTTATAGTTCTAGAGGCTGGGAAGTCCAAGATTGAGGCACTGGCAGATTCAGTGCCTGGTGAAGGCTCATTTCCTGGTTCTTAAATGGCTCCTTCATGCTGTGCCCTCATACAGTAGAAGGAGCAGGTCAACTCTCTGAGATCTCTTTCATAAGGACACTAATCCCATTCATAAGGGTTCCAGCCTTGTGGCCTGATCATCTCTCTAAAGTATCACCTCCTAAAACCATCACATTGGTGATTAGATTTCAAAATATAAATTCTGGGATGAAACAAACACTGACATGACAGAAGCAGGTATTGATTTTTTTTTTCGTTTCTATTAGCAACTTGCAGAGGAAATTTCTAGCTCTATTCCTTTCATTTAAATGCTCACATCAATGTGTTCTGATGCTTGCGACTATTGTCGTAAATAATGTGTTCTCATGCTAATGACCAGAGGACATTAAACCACCTATTCTTAAGGTATGATTCTGATCCAGAATCCATCTTACTTTCCACAGCTTCACCTGCTCACTCTTTCAGCTGTGGTACCAGCCTTTGTTTCTATTGCTTTGATCATTCCAATTAACCCTATAATACAATCAAATCAGGAAATTTTTTGGCAAAGGGGAGACAGTAAATATTTTAGACTCCAAGCTCTATATACTCTCTTGCAACTACTTGCTGTTGTAAAAGCAGCCATAAACAGTATGCAAATGATGGGTGTGGTTATTTTGCAATACCACTTCATTTTCAAAAACAATCTATCAGCTGGATTTGACCTATGGGCCAGTTTATTACCCCATTATTTATAGTGTAGTCCTGTATTTGAAAATTATTGTTCATCTGTCATTTCAATATCAAGAGTGGTGATGGAAACTGGGAAATAGGTCTCCTTTCTGTCACAAAAATCACTGTCAATTATCTTTAAAATTTTTAAATGTTCATTGCATAATAAAATTGGCATACATTAAAATATAAAATATGTTTATGCAGTTAAATAAGTGTCGTGAAGTGAATATTTATGTAACTCTCTGACTTTACACATATATTGACTGCACTCAAGAAGTTGTGCTGTTTTTCATTTGCTATAATAGCCCCTCAGTCCGTCTCACTACTTGTCTGGATTGTTGTGATATCCATTTCTCTGATTTTATTTAGAATTTATTATCCTAGCTAATGTGGTTTCTTTTTGTCTGTTTTCTAACTCTAAATAAATGAATTATGATGATTTTTCTAGTTTTAGTCACTCAAATTAATGTTTGTGAGGTTTTTTCAATGTTGTCGCAAGTAATTCCAAGCTATTCATTTTTATTACTGTATAGCATCCAATTTCATGATTATACAACAATTTATTTCATCTTATTTTGAACATTTTGTTTCTGTCTAGTTTGGTTATGTTAAAATGTATATTATTTTGGGCCTATGCACAAGATTTTATAGGACATATGACTAACAGCATACTGATGGGTTAAGTTACATGCACTTTCATAATTACATTTCCTCCAAAGTAGTATACTAATTTACACACTCCTCTGAATTATATATTCTATTAATAGTGGTAGATGTTTTAAGTTTTAAATGCTTATAATTATATACTTATGTCCTACTGTGATTTGATATGTATTTCTCTAACTGTAAGTAACTTCTCTAACTGTAAGTAATTTAATATGTATTTCTCCAACTGTAAATAATTTCTCTAACTTTTTAAATACAGCAGTTAGCCATATGGAATTTCTCCCCTGTGAAGTGCCTGTTTAAGACATTTGTTCTTTGTCAAAAGATATTTCTAATCTGACCTTTTCTCTCCTTGTGTTTTCACACTTATGGTATTTGGTAAAGATAATTCTTCCATTATGGTAAGTTATATTTGTATCTTGTATAAGAAATCCTTTCTTACTCAAAGGCCATGACTAAATCTTATATAATCCTCTAAAATATTTTTAGTTTTACCTTTCCCATTCAGGTCTTTGTTGAAACAGAAATTGGCTTTTGAATATGCTATAAGGTAGACAACCAATTTAGTTTTTCTGTATGATTTTTCAAATGTTTCAGTAGCTTTATTGAATCTTCTATCTTTCTGTACATGTCTTCTGTGTGATGATGGTTATATATTATACATTTATATATGGTTTTATCTGTTTCCAAGCTCTTGATTAAACTTTTTGGTCTATTTGTCTATTTATGATAAATCTTGATAGCCTAAAGATAAAGCCTTTTCACCTTTTTCCTCATCATAGATGTTTTGGCAATTATTTTTCTTTCAAATTAGCATCCAGTGGACCCAGCACAATTTAAAAATGATATTTCTTCACTGCACTGTAATGTAATCTTTTTTAATAAATTAAATGACTGTATATAAAGAAGTCTCTGGATTCTTTGTTCTCTTCTCTTTGTTTAAATGCTCATTCTTAGACCCTGTCTAATTTATCTGTCCAAATGTCATAGTTTTAATTACTATGACTTTATAATAGGTGTTTATAACCAGACTTGTCCTTTAGTTTTAAGGTGTGCTTACTCTTCTTGATTGTTTAAATTTTCACATGATTTTGGAAACATTATTTTTTCTGTTTTATCTTTTGTTTTATATTCCTCTTTTTTCTTCATTGCCTCTATCCGATTGAATCTACTAATTTATATTATACATTATTCCTCAATTAAATTATTTGTTATACATTCTTTTACTCTTCTTTTAGTAGTTTCTCTACGTTAACATATCAACTCTTGAGTAATTGAATCTATTACAAATTAGTCCTCCTACCAATTACCATATGTTTTTAGATCCTTAAATCTCTAACACCCTTTACCCTCTGCTTCCCATTCATTATTTTTTTTCACACATCACAAACCTGTATATTTTTAAATCCCCATGAAGTATTACTATTTTTTATAAAGTCAGTATTCATTTTAATTTAACCAAAATTTACCAATTCTGGTGATCTTTAGTTCTCCCTACATTTCTGTGCTTCTATCTGAAGCTAATTTTGATATATCTCAGAAATTCTTAATATATTTCTATTATAAGACTGCTTGTTTTAAATTATATGTGTTTTTATTTGTCATTAAATCTTTATTTAATCATAGTCTTCCCCTTCCAGCTATATAAAGGTCTAATTAACAGAAAAAATTATATATAAACAGTTCGCAACATATTTTTAGATATGTATACATTGTGAAATGACTAAGCTAATTAACATATTCATCAATTCAAATACTTACCTTTTTTGAGGTTGAGAATACTTGAGATCTAATCCCTTAGCAATTTTCAAGTATAAAACATTACTAACTACAGTCAACTTGTTGTACAAAAGCTCTCCAGAGCTTATTCCTTCTAAATGAAACTTTCTTCTCTTTAACCATCATCTCCCATTTTCCCACTCTCAGCCCCTAAAAACCATCATTCTACTCTCTGCTTCTATGAGTTTGAATTTTTTAGACTCTCCATATAAATGAGATCAGGCAATATTTTTCTTTCTAAACTTGGCTTATTTTGCTTTACATAATGCCCTCCAGATTCATCCAGCCTGTAGCAAATGAAAGAATTTCTTTTGTTTTTATGACTGCCTAGTATTCCATTGTGCATATATACTGCATTTTCTTTATCCATTTGTCCATTGATGGAAACTTAAGCTTGATTCCGTATCTTGACTACTGCAATAAACCTGGGAGATGTTTATTACAGATATCTCTTCAACATACTAATTTTATTTGCTTTGGATATATGCCCAGTAAAGGGACGGCTGAATCATACAGTAGTTCTATTTTTAACATTTTGAGAAACCTCCTTATTATTTTCCATAATGGTTGTACTAATTTACATTTCCACCAACATTGTGGAAGTGTTCCCCTTTCTCCATGTCCTTGCCAACACTTGTTCTCCTCTGTCTTTTTGATAATAGCCAATCAAACAGGAGTAAGGTGTTATCCCATGGTGGTTTTGATATACTTTTTTCTGATGATTAGTGAGAATGAGAAGTTTTTCATATACCTCTTGGCCATATGTATGTCTTCTTTTGAGAAAGTCTATTTAGGTATTTTGCTCATTTTCAATTTTTTTTTTCTGAGTTGTTTGTATTCCTATACATTTTGGATTTTGACCCCTTATTAGATGTATAGTTGGCAAATCTTTTCTCCCATTCTTTAGGTTGTCTCTTTGTGGTGGTGTTTCCTTTGCTGTACAGAAGCTTCTAAATTTTGTGTACTCCCATTTGTCTAGTTTTTGTCTAGTTTTGGTTTTGTTACCTGTGCTTTTGTAGTCATATCCAAAAAATCATCACCCAGACCAATGTCAAGCATTTCCTCTATGCTTTCTTCTAGTAGTTTTAGCATCATAACTATTATGGTTAAGTTTTAATCCATTTTGAGTTTTTTTTGGTTTTTTTGTTTTTTTTTTTTCTCGCTCTGTAGCCAAGGCTGGAGTGCAGTGGCGCTGTCTCGGCTCACTGCAAGCTCTGCCTCCTGGGTTCACACCATTCTCCTGCCTCAGCCTCCCAAGTAGCTGGGACTACAGGCGCCCACCACCATGCCTGGCTAATTTTTTGTATTTTTAGTAGAGTCGGGGTTTCACCATTTTAGCCAGGATGGTCTCAATCTCCCGACCTCGTGATCTACCCGCCTCGGCTTTCCAAAGTGCTGGGATTACAGGCGTGAGCCACTGCTCCTGGCCTTGAGTGCTTTTTTAATATGGTGTGTGAAACGATGCAATTTTGTTTTTCTGCATGTGGGTGTCCAGTTTTCTCTATGTGATTTCATTGAAGGGACTGTCCTTTCCCCATTGTGTCTTCTTGACAATTTTGTCAAACACCAACTGACTGTAAATGCGTTGTTTTATTTCTCTTATATCTATATTGTTCCATTGGTCTATATATCTATTTTTATACCAGTACTATGCTCTTTTGGTTACTATGGCTATACAGTATAGTTTGAAGTCAAGTAGTATGATGCCTCTAGCTGTGTTCATTTTGGTCAAGCTCGTTTTGGCTATTTAGACAAATTTAATGAAGGAGGTAAAAGATCTGTACATTGAAAACTATAAAACATTCTTAAAAGAAATGAAGGAAAACAGCAAATAAATAGAAAGATAAAGCATGTTCATGAACTGGAAAAATAAATATTGCTAAAATGTCCATAGTACCCAAAGCAATCTACAGATTCAGTGCAAACCCTCTCAAAATTCTAATGACATTTTTCACAGAAATGTAAATAAAAAACAATGCTAAAATTCATATGAAACAACTTAACTATATTCTTATAAATTTTTGCTGGAATAAATTCTAAGATGTCTTTGAAAAAGATGTCGTTTGCCTTTTAAATCATCATTCCATTGTTTTCTGACTTTTTTTTCCTTTTCTATTGATGAAGTAGCTGTATTATTTGTTAATTGGTTTATTAAGAATTATTCGTTTCTTCAAAAGTAACATCCTTTTTTCTTGAAACTTTAAAGATCTTTAAAGTTCATCTGGGCTTTTGTTAGTCTTTTTTTTTCTTTTGATGATATATTTATATCTGACTTTTATTTCCCTTTATCCTACTTGATTTACATAAAGCTTTTTGATACTGTGTCATCAATTTTGAAACAAAAATGCTCTGATCTTCTGAGATTAGCTTAACTTTTTATGTAACTTTGGCAAACAATACTAATGCTTGGGGTGCATTAGTATTAGTAACAACATAGATGCAAATCTCTAAGTTTATATTATCATCAAATGAGATGAATAATTATATAATAAATAAATAGAGTAGAAAGAATGTGAGAAGGTAATATATGCTTGGGCAAAAACTATAGAGCAAATTTAGAGTATGGTTTAAAAATCCTATGCTTTGGTGATTGAACAAGTTGACATTTTAAATAAAATTTTCAAGATAAACCTCAGTGGGAAGTTGATGTATAAGCAAAGACTTAAAGTAGATGGAGAACAATGAACTATGTTGAAGAACTTTCCAGGAATGGCCAACAAAATGGTACAAATATCGTGAGGTCCAAGCTTGCCTGTTGTGTTTGGAAAACAGCTAGGAGGACAGAGTAACAATAGAGTGAGTGAAGTGTAAGATGTTTGAGTAAAATTTAGAACAAAATCCATATATTTAGAAAATATCCCTCTGTTTCTCTTGCTCTTTCTGTGTCAACCTACCTGTCTATAATTAATAAAATAAATGTTTCAAAACAAAAGGTTAAGAATCAAATTTTTCCATTTTATCTTTATGTTACAGAAACTTTTTACCCCATAATTTTAGAGTTTACAGTTATAGTGGCACAGGAATTATGAAACCACTTGACCAAGATTTTCAGGTATGTTTTTTATGATCTCTTTTATTTTTGTCATGTGAGTGTCTATGATCACCTTATTTAGTGTCCACATGTTATTAGAGTCTAAAGTGTTGGGTCATGGCTTCTTGGCATAAGTTTAATGTTTTCCTGTTAATGATGTATACTGATGTACTGAGTTAGCCCTATTAAACAGATGATTAACTAAAAAGACATGATTGTAGTGTTTCTAAACTATTTAGACACATGCTAAGGGCTTATGTACCTGAGGTGATAGGGACTAAATATGTTGTGAAATATGTAAAATGAAAAACCATGACTTGTATCAGGAAAGCTAAATCTGAGGAGAAAATAAGAATCTAATCTTCTTTGAAGTATGTTCAAGGACCAAATAAGTACACATGAAGTTTCACACACGTTTAGGAGTATATTAAATTTTCATCTATTTGGAACATGTAGAGCTTAATTTAATGTTGTCTATAATTTTTTTAAAAAATAATAAAGAAGAGTGAATAAAATTGCCAGGATTAGTCATGCCTGAAGTGTTCTTTTTTTTTTTTTTTTTTTTGAGATAGAGTTTCACTCAGGCTGGAGTGCAATGGCGCGATCTCAGCTCACCGCAACCTCCGCCTCCTGGGTTCAAGTGATTCTCCTGCCTCAGCCTCCCAAGTAGCTGGGATTACAGGCATGTGTCACCATGCCCGGCTAATTTTGTATTTTTAGTAGAGACAGGGTTTCTCCATGTTGGTCAGGCTGGTGTCGAACTCCCGACCTCAGGTGATCCACCTGCCTTGGCCTCCCAAAGTGCTGGGATTACAGCAGTGAGTCACTACTCCTGGCCTCTGTTCTTTTGTTTTTTAACCTCAGCCCTGCTCTACTAATTGCTGTTGTGTTTTCCATTTGTTGTTCTTGATTTCTATATAGCGACTCAATCAAGTGTTTTGAAAGTAAAGCATTTTTAGAGAGGCTAGGATTTCAACAGAAGAAGTAATAGATATGGTTAGTTGCTTTAAGTTTTGCCCAAGAGAGTACACAACTCTATGAGTCAGTTATAGAGTAGTCTATATAAATATATAACTAATATACTGTTACATAGTGTTATACACACACATACATATGTGTGTGTGCGTATGTGTGTTTGTATTTGCATGCATGAGAGAGAGGACAGAAGATAGAGTGAGAATCCAAGACAGAGGCACAGGAGATCACAATATCTCACACCTGTATTTTGTATCATTCTTCCATACATAACTCTGCTTCCTACCTCCCAAGAGGTAACCATGAAAGATAAATGTACAGTTAAAAAAAAAAAACAAGCAAGAATGCTACAAAGCATTCAAAGCATCAACAATCTGAATGTGGTAAGTAGTTGCAAGTTGATCTCAAATGTAGTAAAAACATGCTGCCTTGAAAATAAATTGTGTTTGCCAAGGTTGCAGGCCTACCTCTATCCTAGGAAAAAGCTCATTAAATTCAGTTGGGAACAGGTGTATTTATTGGATTATTTATTTATCTTAAGTCCACACATGATTCCCATTCCTAAAGTCATATTATCTTGATAAATAAAGACTTATCTACAAAAGAAAAAAAATCAGCCAGCTAAACCAGGAAAGAGTTTGTTCCCTGCATCCAGAGTAGGACAAGTGTAAGCCATTCATCATTGTCCTGGATTTTGTGATCTCTCCAGGACAAACAGATAGTCATCATAATTAAAAGGTAAAATTACCAGGATGCTTAAACAATCTAAAATGTATGTGCACATAAAAACAGACCTCAGGCCGGGTGTGGTGGCTCACACCGGTAATCCCAGAACTTTGGGAGGCCAACGCGGGCAGATCATGAGGTCAAGAGATGGAGACCATCCTGACCAAAATGGTGAAACCCCGTCTGTACTAAAAATACAAAAATTAGCTGGGCATGGCAGCATGTGCCTGTAGTCCCAGCTACTCAGGAGGCTGAGGCAGGAGAATCACTGGAACCCAGGTGGAGGAGATTGCAGTGAGCCGAGATCACGCCACTGCACACCAGCCTGGCGACAGAGCAAGACTCCATCATAAAAAGCAAAAAACAAAAAACAAAACAAAACAAAAAAAAAACAGACCTCAAATCCTCAAATTATGGAAGGCATAATTGACGGAAATGAAAGAAACAGACAAATAATACTTATATTTGAAGATTTAAACACTTCTCTTCTAATAATAAAGTAGAAAGAAACTTTGTAAACTTCTAAATGAAGTAGAAAGAAATTCAGCAAATATATCAAGTGTATACACATACTTTTCAAGTGCAAATGTAATATTGAACAAGAAGATATTATAGTGAAGGCAAACAATGCAAAACTGACTGATAAAAATAAAAGATAAAAATAAACTGCGAAAGGATATTGGGTAATAAGTGAAGCTTTTTGATTCTTCCATGAAAATTTTATCCTATGTGACTTAAAAATGACTTATTCTTTCATTTCTAAGTTTCTCAATGTCATCCTGTGTTTAAGGTTGATGTAACTTCCTGATACTCCACAGAATTAGAAATGTTATCAATCTGGATATTATAAACCACATCTGGAAGGAAGAAGATAAAAGCTGTGGAATGTTCAAGATATTTTTACCTTCATTATATAAAGTATGAAGTATACCCCAATTGGTGATAAAAATAAAAGCACAAATATTTTCACATAAATTTCTAAATAAGATGGAAATAGAAATACAGTGTATTGAGTCCATGAAGTATGGTATTTGGAAAGTGGTACAAACTAAGATTTTAGGTATCACAGTAGAAAGATGAACTATAAAGCAAAAGTAAATACAAAATCCAGGTGAAATTTGCAAATGAAAACATTTTGATGGAATTAAAAATTAACTTTGCTTATCTACCATGCAACATTGTCAGAAAAGTATGAAAAATATAAGTTTTGATGATGTTTACCTCATTCTTAACAACTGAGAATGTCATGCTTAATTTAAAACCTATAGAAATATGAAAATATACTCATTTTTTATAAATCTGTGGGGAGTACTTTGGAAAACCAAGCCATATGCTCATCTAATAACATTATAAATCCATTTTTGAAACATGAGTGTTTGATGCATAAAAACAAAACACATATATGTTTTACATATTTGAAAATTGTATCTGTAACACAAACCATTCTAATGGAGATATGTGTATTTTATCTTTCAGAATTTCTGCCACTACCAAGGGTATATTGAAGGTTATCCAAAATCTGTGGTGATGGTTAGCACATGTACTGGACTCAGGTTGTAATTTACTGTTTTATGAATTACAAAATAAAATATTTACTTCAAAATTATTTTAAACATTTTAACATAATATTCAGTGGTTCTAAAGTGTGGCATGACTATTGTGGAAAACTGCCACTCACAAAGCATGGTATGGAAATACTTATGATGGCTCCTGCCCTTATGCAGGATTATGATTTTTTAAATATATTTGGAAGCCATGAAATATTAATAGCTAGGCAAATGCTAACAGCATTACTATGCGGTGTCACTCAGTAAGTTTGTGGATACCCAGTAACTTTCTCCTATTTTATCACCTTAGATTCAGGCTAAAAATAATCTGCATACCATGAAAAAATAATGCTAAGTGGCATTTTATTGGCTTTTCCACAAGGCATTGTTTTACTTATTAATTTTTTTTTGAAATTTTTAGGGGCGTACTACAGTTTGAAAATGTTAGTTATGGAATAGAACCCCTGGAGTCTTCAGTTGGCTTTGAACATGTAATTTACCAAGTAAAACATAAGAAAGCAGATGTTTCCTTATATAATGAGAAGGATATTGAATCAAGAGATCTGTCCTTTAAATTACAAAGCGTAGAGGTAGGTGATTAATTGAACAAACTCTATGGTTATTACTATACAGCAATGTAAGCACTGAAATTTATAGTTGATAAATTACATATTTACACACCCATAAACACCAAAACATATAGCCACATGTATGGATACATGTACCAGAAACTTCATAACTTATATCATTAAGCCTTAAAACTAGTTTTGTAATTTTCCAGAACTCCAATCATGACATTTTCAACTGTTAGTGGCATCTTTTTCTGTAATCTAGACCTTTATTGTCAGCAGATGTACTCCTTTCCCCATAGCCATTATGTTAAAATTCTGGTGTAACAAACACAAATGCCATCCACATAAAAAATGGAGATACATATCTAGGGTCCTGAGGAGAGTCACCCCTATCTTGTAAGGGAACTGCCTCAGGGGAGGTCATTATATTTTCCTCAGGGGATTCAGGGTTATTTAATATCCTCAGAAAGTGAGAGAGAGGTTGCTTCTATTAGCAAACAAGATTCACCAGCATTTAGGAGTTTTATAGCCCCAGCTTCATTAGGGTTCTTCTCTAGGTTCCCATTCCAATTTTCAGGATCCCACTGCTTCCCACTCAATGCTTTCTCTTTGACGGCAGTACCATGGGAGGTTAGGAATTCAGTTTGCACTGTAATTCATCCACTGACAGGATAAGATTCTGGGTTTGGTTTTCAGTAATCTCAGCTCTGTGGCTATGGGATATAAAAATTTATTTCAAGACACACAAAGAAGCTTTTGGATAATTTATGCATCACTTGAGATGGTAATTCAAATACTTTGGCTTATTCTCTTCTTTCTCCACTTTGTCCAGCAACATTAGGAGCAGCCAATCTCATTATATTTGCTAGTTTGACAAAAATGTTCAAAAGTATCATATACATGGTCACCAAGACCCTTGCCTTCATAAGTCTTTGATCAGAAGTATTCAGTGGTAATATTTTGCCTGTCTTTGTTGCTACATCATGCCATGAACTATCTTCTCTCTATAGAATTGTCTTTAAATCTAGTCAAAGTAGAAGGCAAATTCCCAAAACCCCAGCACCAATTCAGAAGATGTCCGCTTAAGATTCTCTTTTCTTGGCACCTCATTCCTGGTACCCACATCTATATCAGGGTTCTCCAGAGAATAGAAAACCAATAGGAGATATATATGTGTGTGTTTGTGTACATACACAGAGAGGGAGAGTACATACAGAGAGAGGGAGAGAGAGATTTTATAGAATTGACTCAGATGATTGTGAAGGCTTGGTAAATCCAAAATCTACAGGGTAAGCAGGCAGGCTGGTTATCCAAGGAAGATTTGCAGTTTAAGACCAACATAGTCTGCTGGCAGAATTCCCTTTTGTTTAGAAAATACTCTGTTTTCTAAAAACGGCTTTAACTGATTGGATGAAGTTCACCCACATAATGAAGAGTAATGTGCTTTACTAGAGCTTTACCAACTTAAATGTTAATTTTGTCTAAAAGGCACCTTCACAGAGGCATCCAGGCTAATGTTTGACCTAATATCTGGGCACAGTGGCCCAGCCAAGTTTACAGGTAAAATTAATCATCACACCAATATCACATCATTTATTCTTATGTTTCTTCTAAATGTTTTATTCTTTAATCTCATTTTGATATATGATACTTTAATATTTTTTATTGGATGAGGTAGAAATTCAAATTTTTTTATATCAATATCCAGCTGTCCTCACACCATTTGTTGAAGAGATTATTTTTTCCTCATTGAGCATTCTTGATTTTTTTCAAAGATCAGTTGACAATAAATGTTAAGTATTATTACCAGACTTAAAATTATAGTCCATTAATCTTTATGTCTACTCTAATGCCACTACCACGTTTTCTTTACTACTGTATTTTTGTAGTAAGATTTGGAATTGGTAAGTGTACATCCTTCAATATTCTTATTTTCCAAGATTATTTTGGTTATTCTGGCTACTATGCATTTCCAAACGTATTTTAAAATTTATTTATTTTTAATTTCCAAAAAATGGCACCCAGGATTGTGTTGAATCTGTAGATAAACCTGAGGAATACTGCTATATTAACAATATTAACTCTGTCCATGAGCAGTAGGTAGCTTTTAGTTTTTAGATATTCTTTAATTTATTTCTGCAATGTTTTATATATTTAAGCCTAAGTCTTCAGTAAAGCTTCTTTTGTTATTTATAGAAGTGTTATTACTTTAGATGTTATTTAAATTTTATATCAGTTTGGATTTCTCATTATTAGTATTTGGTAATTAGTGAATTTTCCATATTGGTTTTGTATTCTGTGAACTTGACAAACTTGTTTATTAGTTCTCTATTGAACTCCACGACTTTTTATGTACATGGTCATGCCATCTTGAATAAAGATAGTTTATCTTGTTTCTTTCCAACTAGGATATCTCAAATTTCCTTTTTCTTACTTAATTGTCCTGATTACTACTTCCATTATAATGTTGAATAGAATAGGTGAAAAAGAGATGTTCTCATCTTTTCCCAATCTTAGGGAGAAAAGATTCAGTCTGTCACCCTTAAGCATGTTATTTGTAATTTTTTCACAGGTGCCCTTTATCAGGTTAAAGAAGGTTTCATCCAGTGTTAGTTTGTTAATGATTTTTGTTTTGTCATTAAGGGTTGTTGGATTTTGTCAGATATTTTTGTTCTGCAACGTATGTTGAGATAATAATTTCATTTTTATCGTTATTTTGTTAATGTGGTGTATTGCATTAATTGACTTTTGATTATTAAACTAACCTTGTATCCAGTCTCTCTTTGTTATAGTGCATAATTCTTTTTATGTATTGCTGGGTTCAGTTTGCTGGCATAATTTTGAAGATTTTTTTCATTTATATTTATAAAGAATATTGCTGTGCAGACTTGTTTTCATATGATATTTTTCTCTGTCTTTGGTATCAGGGTGTTACAAACTTCACGAAATGAGTTGGGAAGTGTTGTCTCCTCTATTCTGGAAGACTTTGTGGAGGATTGATTTAATTATTTCAACATCTGTAAAATCCATCTGGGATTGGACATTTTTAGGGAAGGATTTTTATTAGTAATTAAATTTTTTCTCATTAAGTCTATTATAATTTTCTAATTTCTTTTGGAGTCAATTTAGGTAGTTTGTGTGTCTATAGAGGTTTTTCTATTTTATCTATTTATTTCTTGTCATATTGTTGTTTGTAGGACTCCCTTATAGGTCTTTAAATATCGGTACGATTTTTAGTAATCTTCTTTTTCATTTCTGATTTTATTAATTTAAATATTTTCTTTTTTGTGTGGTCAGAGTAGCTAATAATATTTTAATTAAAGTGTATCTCTTTTAAAGCACATATTACTAAGTTTTTAAACGTTTTAAATCACATATGACAATTTTATGTTTAACTGACAGATAATAATCACACTTATGGGATACAAATGATATTTTGATACTTGAATAAAATGTGTAATGATCAAATCAGGGTAATTAGCTTATTTATTACCTTAAACATTTATCATTTGTTTATGTTGGGAACATTCAAAATTGCCTCTTTAAGCTACTTGAAAACATACAATAAATTATTGTTAACTATAGTCACCCTATGGTGCTATAGAACACTAGAACTTACTCCTTCTATCTAGCTGTACTTTTGTAACCAATAGCCAACCTTTCCCCATCCGTTCCTCCCCTGACCCTTCCTATCCTCTCATGACCACGATGTCACTCTCTACTTCTATGAGCTCAACTTTTCTAGTTGCCAAGGTTATTTATTGCATCTACTTTTAATGCACACACTTACATAATTTAGATTTAATCTACCACTTTGTCATTTCTTATTTGTCTTATATGTTCCTTATTCCTTTATTCTTTCTTCTTTTATATCTAATCTATTTATTTTTTTCAAGGATTTAATCATGATGTTACATCTTTTTTATTAATCAAGTATTTTTATTTTTCTCCTCTAATGAGCTTTTACATTATATATTGTTTCATATATTTTGCTCTTATATAGTCTGTGAATACAAAACAATTTTTACAACATAATAATTTTAGTGGCTAGTCTAATTAGGAGTTGACAAACTATGGCCCTCAGGCCAAATCTGGCCCACAGGCTGTTTGTATAAATAACATCTATTACTGCTATTCTATATATTGTTTATGTATACTTTCATATTATGGTGGCAAACTTGAATAGTTGTGACAGAGACTCTATGCCCTACAAAGAAACTTTATAACCATGGCAGTCATTCTTCATTCCCCTGTCTTCCCGGGAAACTACAAATCTATTGTCATAGATATAGACTTGCCTTTTCAAGATATTTTATATAACTGGAATCTTACAATATCTTTTGTGACTTCTTTCACTTATAAGGTGGTCAAAGCTCATCAGTACCTCTTTTATATTTATGGCTGAATAACATGTGCCTGGGTATAAATATACCACTCGTGGTCATATAGTCATAAGCTGATGAACAAATTGGTTGTTTCTACTTTTTAAATATTATAATATTGCTAGGAACATTAATATATGTTTTATGTGGATATATGTTTTTATTTCTCTAGGTAATTACTAAGATTTGAACTGCTAGGTCATACGCAGACTCTGTGTTTCACCTTTTGAGTGGCTGCCAGATTATTTGTCCAATGTGGCTGACAATTTTATATCTCCTGAAACAACATCTGTGGGTTCCAATTCCTCCACATTTATTTATTTGTTGTTTTTTATTTTTTGAGATGTAGTTTCACTCTTGTTGCCCAGGCTGGAGTGCAATGGCGTGATCTCTGCTCACTGCAACCTCCACCTCCCGGGTTCAAGTGATTCTCCTGCCTCAGCCTCCCGAGTAGCTGGTATTAGAGGTGCACACCACCACGCTCGGCTAATTTTTTGCATTTTTAGTTGAGATGGGGTTTCACCATGTTGGCCAGGCTGGTCTTGAACTCCTGACCTCAGGTGATTCACCCACCTCAGCCTCCCAAACTGCTGGGATTACAGATGTGAGCCACCGTGCCTGACCTCCTCCACATTTTTTTTTCAACATTTATTACCAGTCATTTTGATTATAGCCATCCTATTATGTGTGAACTGATATCTAATTGTGGTGGAACTATTTAAAACTTTAAAAGTTCTACTTTGTGCTATCATTATATGTTTTTATTTTTATACATATTATACACTTCATAGGACTACTACTGTTATTACTCACATTATTGTTTTAAATAATTCATATCTTTTCTCATTCTGTTCATTCCCTCATGCTGTTTTATGCTGTCCTCACTTTTGGAAATAAAAATTATTATCATTTAAATATTCTTTCTGCTGTATTTAAAAGGTCATAAAGTTATTCATTTGTTTTGGTTAAAAATTTCATGTAATTCCCTGCCCCATTTCCCAAAATACCAAGAAGCTTCTACCAGGAAGTGCTTGCCAAGTTGATTATTAAGTTCACTTACAAAACATGAATAAATAAGCATATTCAAAGAAACATCTGAAAATGTAGAGCAATGGGGAAATCACAGTTCTCAACCATCTGTATTCCTATTCTATCTCATTTTATTTGCTAGCCTCATTTTATCCTCCACCTACTTCCAACATAAAAATTTAATTCCTAAATTTGAGTATCTATTATTTTCTCTCACTTGAGTTCCATCCTTATAATTCTAAACAGAAAGATCCTATAACCTTATTCCATTAATCATTTTATTATGTGTAATATTTTGAATTATCATCTACAGTTCCTTCATTATACGAACATAATCATATCTCCTTAATACTAAAAATAGATTTAAAAATAAATGAAATAAAATAGAATCTATTATATACCTAGCACTTTCCATTTCTTCACATACCAGCTTTATATTAGAATAAGTGGAACTATCCATCCTGACAGCTCATTAACTATTCATTTCACAAAAATGCAGTTTCTGTCTCCACAAATAATCAGTGGTGATCCATTGTTAAATTGGCTTTTTGAAATATTGAGATACATTTTTAAAGAGTGAAAGTAAAAATTCCCTAGAACTTTCTAGTCATCTTATTTTCTGCAATAATGCTGTCTCTTGCTTCTCATTCTTTCTTACTTTTTCTGACTTTTCCTTATACATTCACATTTTAAATATTGATATTTGCTCTGTTATATCTCATGTTTGAGCTTGTTATCATCACATATAATATATATATTACATATATATCATATATATATATAGTTCTATGGCTTTACCTACTGTAACCTACAGATATTCAGTCCCAGTCCAAATTTTCTCCTGAGTTGATAATTCAATACAGGACATGTTGGTTGTTCGATTGAAACACACACACATGGACACCCGCACCCACACACCCCATATCTATCTATCTGTCTATTTATTGATGGATAAATCAATCACCTACATTTTTCTTCCAACTTCCTGAATATTCTTAACCAAGGACCTTTGACGTTTTTAAATCTGAATATTTCATTCATACATATTGCAAATGGATCAGTGTAATACTGTGAGTTCTCTGATATTTCTGACTAGATCCAATTCCTTAGTCTTTATTTGGCCAAGGCAACCTTTGTCCTAAATTTGGAGTCCTCTTTCAACATCATGTATGTAAGCACTTTTGTCTCCTTTTAGGGCTACTTTGTCTTAATAAAATGGCTTGGCTATTGTGGATTTTTTTTTTTTTTCTGAGACAGAGTCTCACTCTGTCACCCAGACTGGAGTGCAGTGGTGTGATCTTGGCTCACTGCAACCTCTGCCTCCCAGTTTCAAGCGATTCTCCTGCCTCAGCCTCCTGACTAGCTGTGATTACAGGTGTGAGCCACAATGCCCAGCTAATTTTTTGTATTTTTAGTAGAGACAGGGTTTTGCCATGTTGGCCAGGCTGGTCTCGAACTCTTGGCCTCAAGTGATCCACCCACCTCGGCCTCCCAAAGTGCTGGGATTACAGGTGTGAGCCACCACGCCTGGCCTGTGGATTTTTAAAATTGGCATCTGACCACCTTTTCAACACACACAGCTCCTGGCATTCTCTCATGCATCTGTGTAGTTTTCTTTTCTTTTTTTTTTCTGCCCACCTTTTCAACACACACATTTATTTACATATATTTATTTTATTTATTTATTTTTTATTATACTTTAAGTTCTAGGGTACATGTGCACAACGTGCAGCTTTCTTCCATATGTATACACGTGCCATGTTGGTGTGCTGCACCCATTAACTCGTCATTTACATTAGGTGTATCTCCTAATGTTATCCCTCCCCGCCCGCAACCCCACAACAGGCCCTGGTGTGTGAAGTTCCCCAGCTTGTGTCCAAGTGTTCTAATTGTTTAATTCCCACTTCTGAGTGAGAACATGTGGTGTTTGACTTTCTGTCCTTGTGATAGTTTGCTCAGAATGATGGTTTCCAGCTTCATCCATGTCCCTACAAAGGACATGAACTCATCCTTTTTTATGGCTACATAGTATTCCATGGTGTGTATGTGCCACATTTTCTTTATCCAGTCTGTCATTGATGGACATTTGGGTTGGTTCCAAGTCTTTGCTATCGTGAATAGTGCTCCAATAAACATACGTGTGCATGTGTCCTTATAGCAGCATGATTTATAATCCTTTGGGTATATACCCAGTAATGGGATGGCTGGGTCAAATGGTATTTCTAGTTCTAGATCCTTGAGGAATTGCCACACTGTCTTCCACAAGTGTTGAACTAGTTTATAGTCCCACCAACAGTGTAAAAATGTTCCTATTTCTCCACATCCTCTCCAGCACCTGTTGTTTCCTGATTTTTTAATGATCACCATTCTAACTGGTGTGAGATGGTATCTCATTGTAGTTTTGACTTGCATTTCTCTGATGGCCAGTGATGATGAGCATTTTTTCATCTGTCTGTTGGCTGCATAAACGTCTTCTTTTGAGAAGTGTCTGTTCATATCCTTCACCCACTTTTTGATGGGGTTGTTTGATTTTTTCTTGTAAATTTGTTTAAGTTCTTTGTAGATTCTGGATATTAACCCTTTGTCAGATGGTTAGATTGTAAAACTTTTCTCCCATTCTATAGGTTGCCTCTTCACTCTGATGGTAGTCTCTTTTGCTGTGCAAAAGCGCTTTAGTTTAATTAGGTCCCATTTGACAATTTTGGCTTTTGTTGCCATTGCTTTTGGTGTTTTAGTCCTGAAGTCCTTGCCCATGCCTATGTCCTGAATGGTATTGCCTAGGTTTTCTTCTAGGGTTTTCATGGTTTTAGGTCTAACATTTAAGTCTTTAATCCATCTTGAATTAATTTTTGTATAAGGTAAGGAAGGGATCCAGTTTCAGCTTTCTACATATGGCTAGCCAGTTTTCCCAGCACCATTTATTAAATAGGGAAAAACCATTTCTTGTTTTTGTCAGGTTTGTCAAAGATCAGATGGTTGTAGATGTGCGGTACTATTTCTGAGGGCTCTGATCTGTTCCATTGGTCTATATCTCTGTTTTGGTACCAGTACCATGCTGTTTTGGTTACTGTGGCCTTGTAGTATAGTTTGAAGTCAGGTAGTGTGATGCCTCCAGCTTTGTTCTTTTGGCTTAGGATTGTCTTGGCTATGCGGGCTCATTTTTGGTTCCATATGAACTTTAAAGTAGTTTTTTCCAATTCTGTGAAGAAAGTCATTAGTAGCTTGATGGGGATGGCATTGAATCCATAAATTACCTTCAGCAGTATGGTCATTTTCACAATATTGATTCTTCCTATCCATGAGCATGGAATGTTCTTCCATTTGTTTGTGTCCTCTTTTATTTCGTTGAGCAGTGGTTTGTAGTTCTCCTTGAAGAGGTCCTTCACATCCCTGGTAAGTTGGATTCCTAGGTATTTTATTCTCTTTGAAGCAATTGTGAATGGGAGTTTACTCATGATTTGGCTCTCTGTTTGTCTGTTATTGTATAGGAATGCTTGTGATTTTTGCACATTGATTTTGTATCCTGAGACTTTGCTGAAGTTGCTTATCAGCTTAAGGAGATTTTAGGCTGAGATGATGGGGTTTTCTAAATATACAATCATGTCATCTGCAAACAGGGACAATTTAACTTCCCCTCTTCCTAATTGAATATGCTTTATTTCTTTCTCTTGCCTGATTGCCCTGGCCAGAACTTCCAACACTATGTTGAATAGGAGTGGTGAGAGAGGACATCCCTGTCTTGTGCCAGTTTTCAAAGGGAATGCTTCCAGTTTTTGCCCATTCAGTATGACATTGGCTGTGGGTTTGTCATAAATAGCTCTTATTATTTTGAGATACGTCCCATCAATACCTAGTTTATTGAGAGTTTTTAGCCTGAAGCGCTGTTGAATTTTGTCGAAGGCCTTTTCTGCATCTGTTGAGATAATCATGTGGTTTTTGTCTTTGGTTCTGTTTATATGCTGGATTACGTTTATTGATTTGAATATGTTGAACCAGCCCTGCATCCCAGGGATGAAGCCAGCTTGATCGTGGTGGATAAGCTTTTTGATGTGCTGCTGGATTCGGTTTGCCAGTATTTTATTGAGGATTTTTGCATTGATGTTCCTCAGGAATATTGGTCTAAAATTTACTTTTTTTGTTGTGTCTGCCCCAGGCTTTGGTATCAGGATGATGCTGGCCTCATAAAATGAGTTAGGGAGGATTCCCTCTTTTTCTATTGATTGGAATAGTTTCAGAAGGAATGGTACCAGCTCCTCTTTGTACCTCTGGTAGAATTCAGCTGTGAATCCATCTGGTCCTGGACTTATTTTGGTTAATTATTGCCTCAATTTCAGAGCCTGTTATTGGTCTATTCAGGGATTCAACTTCTTCTTGGTTTAGTCTTGGGAGGATGTATGTGTCCAGGAATTTATCCATTTCTTCTAGATTTTCTAGTTTATTTTCATAGAGGTGTTTATAGTATTCTCTGATGGTAGCTTGTATTTCTGTGGGATTGGTGGTGATATCCCCTTTATCATTTTTTATTGTGTCTTTTTGATTCTTCTCTCTTTTCTTCTTTATTAGTCTTGCTAGTGGTCTATCAATTTTGGTGATCTTTTCAAAAAACCAGCTCCTGGATTCATTGATTTTTTTGAAGGGTTTTTTTTTGGTCTCTATCTCCTTCAGTTCTGCTCTGATCTTAGTTATTTCTTGCCTTCTGCTAGGTTTTGAATGTGTTTGCTCTTGCTTCTCTAGTTCTTTTAATGGTGATGTTAGGGTGTCAATTTTAGATCTTTCCTGCTTTCTCTTGTGGGCATTTAGTGCTATAAATTTCCCTCTACACACTGCTTTAAATGTGTCCCAGAGATTCTGGTATGTTGTGTCTTTGTTCTCATCGGTTTCAAAGAACATCTTTATTTCTGCCTTCATTTCGTTATGTACCCAGTAGTCATTCAGGAGCAGGTTGTTCAGTTTCCATGTAGTTGAGTGGTTTTGAGTGAGTTTCTTAATCCTGAGTTCTAATTTGATTGCACTGTGGTCTGAGAGAGAGTTTGTTATAATTTCTGTTCTTTTACATTTGCTGAGGAGTGCCTCACTTCCAACTATGTGGTCAATTTTGGAATAAGTGCGATGTGGTGCTGAGAAGAATGTATATTCTGTTGATTTGGGGTGGAGAGTTCTGTAGATGTCTATTAGGTCCACTTGGTGCAGAGCTGAGTTCAAGTCCTGGATATCCTTGTTAACGTTCTGTCTCTTTGATCTGTCTAATGTTGACAGTGGGGTGTTAAAGTCGCCCATTATTATTGTGTGGGAGTCTAAGTCTCTTTGTAGTCTCTAAGGACTTGCTTTATGAATCTGGGTGCTCCTGTATTTGGCTCATATATATTTAGGATAGTTAGCTCTTCTTGTTGAATTGATCACTTTACCATTATGTAATGGCCTTCTTTGTCTCTTTTGATCTTTGTTGGTTTAAAGTCTGTTTTATCAGAGACTAGGTTTACAACCCCTGCTTTTTTTTTGTTTTCCATTTGCTTGGTAGGTCTTCCTACATCCCTTTATTTTGAGCTTATGTTTGTCTCTGCACATGAGATGGGTCTCCTGAATACAGCACACTGATGGGTCTTGACTCTTTATCCAATTTTTCCAGTCTGTGTCTTTTAATTGGAGCATTTAGCCCATTTGCATTTAAGGTTAATATTGTTATGTGTGAATTTGATCCTGTCATTATGATGTTAGCTGGTTATTTTGCTCGTTAATTGATGCAGTTTCTTCCTAGCATTGATGGTCTTTACAATTTGGCATGTTTTTGCAGTGGCTGGTACCGGTTTTTCCTTTCCATGTTTAGTGCTTCCTTCAGGAGCTCTTGTAAGGCAGGCCTGGTAAAAGAGAGAATAATATGAATAGCTTGGAACCAATGAAAATATGGAGAATGGAAGATAGAGGGAAGTTGTTTCCCAAGTAAATTAAATAATTGATTAGGTACAGAAAAGTGACAAATAGATGAAAATGATTTTATGATATCTAGTGTTGCTTATATTATCTGGTTTTATTTCTATATGCAAAATTGTGTTTTTCAATATTTAGTTCATTAATAGTAGTGACATGCACTAAAAATACTTAAGTAATTCTGTAATTTTGATGTAAAATTTGTGGATTTTTTCAGCCACAGCAAGATTTTGCAAAGTATATAGAAATGCATGTTATAGTTGAAAAACAATTGGTAAGTATATTCTGATTTATTTATGTCCCTTAATATTTGCAATGAGGGATTGTAATAATAATTTGGAATATATTTTTAACAGAAAAGAATTGATAATTTTGCCTTAGCTCTGCATTAATGCACTTTAAATTATTAATATCAGTAGTAAATTGAGAATCAAATTTTATATAGTGTTTAATTTTATAAATAGCAACATAAAGAAAATAATTGCTACCTCTATAATAGTTTACAAATAGTTTTAGAATTATTATAGAAACTTGTATGTATTCTAGAACTATACTGAATTTTAAAAATAATGCTTGACATTTTGGATATTATTTAAAAAGAAATAAAAGTTTCCCATCTGTACATTTTTTTTGTAGACAGGAAAATAATGGCTTATACTGGGGATGAAAGGTGGTGATTAAGTATTTTAATGATAAATATTGTAAACTTGGGTAAAATAAGTGATCAATATGTTTATTTTTCTTTATGTATTTATTTATTTATTTTTTGTGATGGAGTCTCACTCTGTCCCACAGGCTGGAGTGCAATGGCATGATCTCGGCTCACTGCAAACTCCGCTTCATGGGTTCAAGTGATTCTCCTGCCTTAGCCTCACAAGTAACTGGGACTACAGGCACACACCACCATGCCCAGCTAATTTTTGTATTTTTAGTAGAGACGGGGTTTCACCACATTGGCCAGGATGGTCTCGATCTCTTTACCTCGTGATCCACCTGCCTCGGCCTCCCAAAGTGCTGGGACCACATGCGTGAGCCACTGTGCCTGGCCAACTTTTTCCTTATGTTTTAAAAAATATTTAGCAATTCTGTGTCCTTTGAATTTCCATTTAAGACCACCTTATCCATTTCTGCAAAAAGGATGATTATATTTTGATAGAGACTGTGTTAATTCTATAGATCAATTTGGGAAGGATATTTTTTCACAATTTGGAATATTCTAATCCATGATCATCATATATCCACCCCATTATTTAGATCTTCTTTGATTTCTCTCAGCAATATTTGGTAGTTTTTCAGTATATGAGTCCTTTGCTTTTTGTTAAATCTATTCCTATTTCCTAATCTTGTTTCTAATATGATTACTTCTCATATTTTCATTTTGATTGTTCATTTGGTAGTGTAAAAAAAGTTAATTGATCTCGTATCTTGTGATTTTTGCAAAAAATGTTTATTACTTGTAATTGTGTGTGTGTGTGTGTGTGTGTGTGTGTGTGTATTCCTTAGGACTTTCTGCATACAGGATCATTTTGTGATAAAACATAACTTTGTTTTAGCCTTTCCAATGTGAAGCCTTTTTATTTATTTTCTTGCAATATTGTCTTTGCTAGAACCTCCAGGACAATGATTAAGTGTAAGTTGAGAGAAGACTTGTGTTGTAGTTTCAATGTTTGTGGGAAAGCCATAGATTCACCATTTAATGTGCTAATAAATTAAATATTAGCTGCTGTGTTGTTGTCATTGTTACTGTTTTTATCAGGAGTAGGTGTTGAGTTTTGTGAAATGTACATTCTGTTTCTGTTCAGATGACTATGGGAATTTTTGGTCATTATATCAGTTAAGTGTCTTACAGTAATTTAAAGTTCCAGTTGATCATGATGCATAATCATTTTTATATATTTCTGGCTTCAGCTTGCTAACAGTTTTCTTAGGTTTTCTTTGTATATATAGTGTAGTATATTTATTCTGGATGTTGGAAATCTGAGACCTGGGTAGCAGCATGGTTACATTCTGGTGAGGGCTGTCTTCCTAGCCTACAGATGGCCACCAAAAAGCAAACTCTCTAGTATCTCTTCCCATAAGGGCACTAATCTCATCTTGAGGGGCCCACCCCTATGACCTCATTGAAACCTTATGATATCCCAAAGATACCATTTCCAAATACTGTTACAATGGGGCTCAGGGCTCCAAAATATGAAATTTTGGAGAGAGATAATTTACTCCATAGAACTCCAGCCCTCACTTCCCCATATTCGTGTCCTTCTCCCAGACAAAATGTGTTCATTCCATCCTAACAGCTCCAACTCTAACATTTAAAGTCCAAAGTCTCATCTAAATATCATCTCAATCTGTCGTGGGTGAGTCAGGATGTACAATTCATACTGAGGCAAAATTCCCCTCCAGCTATGAAACCTGATAAGTAGAACTTTGTGTTCCACAGGGAAAAATAGGAAGGAAGCAAAGGGCCATGGTTTCCAAGCAAGTCCGAAAGTCTAGCAAGACAAATTTACTTAGATTGTAAGCCTCAAGAATAATGCTGTTTGGCTTGATGCCCCTTTTCCAGGTCTACTGGGAGGGCAGTGTCACTTCCATGGGTGGGGTCGCTGGGTGGTCCTGCCAGCAAGGCTACAGGCAAAGGCCATCCAAACTGTGGAAATTAAGGCAGTGGCTCCGATCATCTCTGAATCACCTTCAGGGTATCTTTTCCTCTTCTCTATTATTAGCGCTCATTTTCAGCTCATTTCACCTGTATCGTTCCATCCTGTCAAATCTAAGAAGTCTGGCAGCCCTCCTTCATTGTGTCCTGTCTCTATCCCTTTCAGTTAAAACAGGCAGTGTTTTCACTCATATAATCCTATAAAGTTTTTGTCAAATGATTGTGCAGCCATTTCCTTAGGGTTCTCCTTAGAACAATCTTTGCAACAAAGATAGGCAGGAAATCTCCAAATCTTCAACTTTTGGTTCTGCTTTGCTTTACAGTTTCTCTATCATTTTGCATTTCAGGGTAAGCAGTCAGGAGGCACAATGCCACTCAATGCTCTAACATTTTGCTTGGAAATCTTCTCAATTAAATATTCTATTTTGTCACTCACAAGTTTTACCTCTAATAAAACACTAGAACATAGTTTACATTACCTGCATTTTATATATATTTATATATAATATGTTTATAATAATATTACAAATAATATAATATTTATAATATATTATATATAACTTTTTTTTTATTATGTGTCATACTTTGTTGAAAACGGGACATTTTTAATATAATATAGTTGGGCAATTCTGAATCCTGAAAGCCTATCTTGAAATCGTTGTTTCTATTCTTCTGTTGTTTGTTTGTTTAGCGCTTTGCTGGAGCAATTCTGAAGACTCTGCCTCTCTAGCAGTGTGTCATCACTGATGTCTTTGCATTTTTTTTTTCAATTCCCGTTTTCATTTTTTGAGCCTGGATTCCTAGTGGTTGTCCTTGGGTTGGCATATCTTATTGACTGGTCAGAGTCTATGTTCCAACAACTTGCGAAAATAAGGCTTCCACTCTTTGCCAATGGATTTACCTTTGTGTTGGAAAAAGTATTCAATATCCAGGCAGTTTTCACTCAGGCAAGTTTTACTTTCTGCAGGACTTACTCCCATCTCCTCTACTAGTGAGTCAGCCATGAAATTGTGCATAGCTTGGCCCTTTCCAATTTCCCCTGAGCATGGATGCTACTTCATATATATATGGAATATTCCTGACTACCATGACTATATGGGTGCTTTCGAGACCATTTTGGCTGTTGCATTGTCCACAATTTCATGCTAGGTTTCTGGCTAATCTTCTGATCTGTTGCTTAAAATCACCAGTTTCACAATCTATGTTTAGATGTGATGTTGGCCTTCCCTGTTCATTTGCCACAGATAACTATTGTTTTTGACAATGTACCTAAGCGTGTGGTCTCCCTGCTGTCAGCTACAAATCATGTCATTCTACTTTAATAGGGAAGCTATTAGATTCCTGGCTTGAGCTGTTATGGTAGAATTGCCACAGGCTAGAGCTAGCTATGAGGATGGGAACAGCTCAGCTAAAATGCCACAAATTCCCATTATTATTATTATTTTTTACCATAGCATTAATAGTTTTTCTTTAATAAATTATTCTTAAAGTTTTGTATTCCTTTGGTCATTTTCCAGAATCTTGAAATGATTTTTGACAATTTTGTCTTGTTTTATCTTTGTTTATTGTGCAAAGGATTTGCAGAGCTTATCGTTTTTACCATTTCAGGAGTCTCACTACATTTTCCAAGTTTATTTCTATGAATTTGCTTTTCATTGGCTTTGTAAACTAGATATTTTTAATAAAACATTCTACTCCTTGTCATAGTCACCTTTAGATCCCCTAGTCACTTTTCTTGACCTGCGCCTATCTGCCTAGGCATTTGGCTGCCTCCTGTCCCTATCAAAACATAATCCCCAATGTGATGGTATTAAGAGGTGGGATATTTGAGAGGTGATTAGGTCATGAGGTCAAAGCCCTCATGAATGGGATTGATGTCCTTGTAAAACAGGTCTAAAAAGGTTTGTTTGCCCCTTTCAGTCTATAAGGACACAGCTAGAAGGTACCATCTATAAGGAAATGAACCCTCATCAGACACCAAATCTACCAGTGTCTTGATCTTGAATGTTCCAACCTCCAGAATTGTGAGAAATAAATGTGTTTTTAATAAGCTACTCAGCTTGTGATATTTTTGTTATAGCAGCCTGAATGGACTAAGACAATCATGATCACTCCACACATCTCATCAAGGAGTAGAGAAGAAGTATACTCTAAGATACTGCAAGTATTTTAAGAGTATTTTAAGCAAGACATGTAAAGCTATGCACTTTACCAGAATGCAAAATACCATGCATTCAGAAGCCAAAAATATGAAGCTATTTTTAAACTTTACCATACTTATTTTTTACTGAAGTGTTTAGCATTTTGATGACTGTCCCATATTTTAATAATACTCATATCATAATTTTTTATAATTTTAATGTCAACGTAACTATTTCTTCCAGTGTCTTTACTTTTTAATTCCCTGATTTCTCTATTTCAATAGTATTGTTCATCAACCTGCCTCAGCCACTGACTTTCATCATCATATATTATACTTCAGGATTGCTATCACATTACTCTTCTCTACTCTTATATTTAAGCCTCTCAATCTTTGAATACTCCCTCTTATATTTCTCTTTCCCATTTCCAGACTTTAATATTTTATGCCACCAAGACATTTATCCATTAATTCTTCAATTTTTGCATTGTCCTTTTCCATGTACTCAGTTCTTCCATTGAAAACCACATATCCTATGGTTTCATGATTACCGTCATTCCCTACGAACACCTGCAACTCCCTTGCCATTTTCCCTTTAGTTGCCTCTCTGGAAAAACCTCAAACCTGGTTAAATCCAAGTCATCAAATAATTTGTTCACAACTGCAATAAAGCACACAATGATAGGGCATATTCTCACTTTAGTTCCATAAATCCTGAAACGTCATTATGCTCCCCACTGTCTTGCCTTGCTGACTCATATTTCGCTGATAAAAGAAATCAGAAGAGAACATCCACAAACTCTTGTCACTTGCTCAAACACTTAGCCTGGATACTTAATCATGCACTCTGTTTTCCTTGCCATTACCACGAATGAGATGGTGCTCCAGTCTAACACTAGAATTCCAAACGTGCACATTCACACTCAGCTCCTTAAGGATGTGGCTCTAACAATTCTTGCCCACATCAATCCTTATTAGTTCTTGGCCATCAGCAAATAAGTATTCTCCCATATTAAAAACAAAACAAAACAAAACAAATAAGCAAAGATAATCGTCCTTCTCTCCAGCTAACATGTCGATGTTTTACTTTCACTTATAACGCTCCTTAAAAGGGTCATCGGTATTTACTAATCCCAGTACCACTCCAAATATCTTTTCAGTCTAGTCTTATTTTCATTTTGATTCTGATTTCTATCCCCAAAATTAATTATGCTAAAGGACATTACAACTAACTGAGTTTTAGAGTTCGAATTGGCTTTTATCAGCAATTAATGAACGAGGCATCATCCAGTCTTCAAAATAGGAGCTCCAGGCACAGCAGAAAAGTCGCCTTTTTTAAGGCAGCTTTATCAAAAACAAGGAAGAAGCATAGCTCAAAAAAAGTGGATTGTTTAACATGAGATCACTCTGCTTGTACGGGATAAAACAGAGGGAACGTCATTATATTGGCTCAGGTTGACTGGGCACCTTGGGATTGGTTGCGAGAATCCCCTATTTGTTTTGAAAACTGGACCATTTAGGGATTTGGCTATCATGTTTTCCTTGAATTCTCAGAAGGCCAGATCTTACAAATAAACAACTTAAGTTTAGATGGTCATGTGGATTTTTAGTATGAGTGACTCATTTTAGGCCTGCCATGTTTTCTTTAAGTTTCCACCTTTTGCCAGACTCAGTGATACCGAGCGGTTTGATCAAAATTTAAGGCATTAGTGCCACTCTCAGTCATCATGATGCTGCAGTTTTTTATTTAGTCTCAGAGTGAAATTTTTAAATCACAATTTCAGGATCCATGGTCGATCTTTTCTGTTGCTCTCAATCTTGTTCTAATTGTAGAATTAGATCAACTGTTGTGTGGGGGATAGCTGCAAGCAAGCATTAAGATTCATGAGAGGAGGCAGTGCACTCCGGAGATTACTAGAATAACTACTAGCAAAATTGTACCCAATAATTGGTCATAATTCTTGGTTATAGAGGTTCAGTTTTTGACTCAAAGTCACCATGAGCCAAATCAACTAAAATAACAAAAGAAAAACAAAAGTTGATGGCTAGAACAAACGATTTTTTTTTCTCTGAGTTCAGAGGGCAGTTAGTTGAAAATATTTTCAGATCTGAGCTTAAAGCCTATTTTTTTTCTGGTTTGCAGTTAGGTAGTCCCTGGTTATAGCACCAGGTGCCTTGGTGAACTCTCTGAGTGTCTCGCACATTGGGCACAAAGGTTTTCTCTTAAGATTTACATCAAGTTGTCCAGCTCCAGTTTGTAGGGGCTCCAGTAATAAAGGTAGTTTTCGTTTTTAGTGATTCCAAGTCAGAAAAGTGCAGAAAACTGCAGATGTGAGTGTGAAGGGTCACACACAGATATTGAAGGAAATAAGAAGAATTCAGGATTCAGTTCAGTTTATAGGTGGGTAACAAAACCTCAAAAACAATGAACAGAGCTAGAATCTAATAATGAGGTGGGGGGGCCAAGATGGCCGACTTGAAGCAGCAGCATTCGGAGTCTCCCATTGAAAAAAAGCCATAAGAGGCTTGTGAATCCTTCAGCGGCAACCAGGGTATCCAGGTTCTTTCATCAAAATTGACTAGAAGGCTGGCATGACCCACGGAAAGAAGGAAGAGCAGTGTGGTGTGGCAGCCCACCTGAGAGCCGCACGGGGAAGGGGAATCCCCTCCCCCCAGCCAAGGGAGGCAGTGAGTGAGCACACAACCCAGCTGGGGAAACTGCTTTTCCCACGGAACTGTGAAACCCATGGATCCCACTTGTGAACCCACGCCACTGGGGCCTAGTGTCTCAACCATGGAACACGCAGATTCTTATAGCCTCTCAGCTGGAATATGCTTAAGCCTACCTAACTCCCCAGGGAGGGGCAGCCAGCACTGGCTGAGGCTGCCTGCTGTCTACACCATTTGAGCTCCTTGGGGGAGGGGCAGCAGCCAGCTCTGGGACTAGCAACTGCCTAAGCTCCCTGGGCGGGGGAAGGGCGGCACCCATTTCTATAGTCCCAGGCTGCTCTTTTCCCCTGCTGGAACCAGGAAGGCTGGATGGCTTGTTCCCAAGATTTGTTCCCACTGCCCAACACACTGGCTGTGGCAGTATGCGGCCAGCGTGCCTCTCTAGGTCTAATCCTGACACATCCTCCTCAGTGGGTGGGGCTTCCCTGCAGCATCTCCAATAACTCCAGCCAGAGGCTCAGGGACAGAACCCGGATGTCCCTGAGCCTGAGCCCCCAGGGGGAGGGGCGGCCCCAGTCTCTGTGGACCAGCAGAATTAGCCTCTCCTCCTGGTAGTTCTGAGTTATCCGAGCAGCCCAGATGAATGGGTTTCCCCCTAGTAAAACACACCCTCTCCACCAAGGAACAAAGTCCTTCATTAAACAAGTCCTATTCCCCATGCCACCCAACTGAGTGAGACCTTCCAAGAGGGGTTGTCAGACCCCCTATAGAGGAGTAATCCTACTGGCATCAGGTTGGTGCCCCTCAAGGTCAGAGGTCCCAGAAGAAGGAGAAGGTACCCATCTTGGCTGCTCTCCAGCCTTCTTGAGTGACATCTCCATGCACAGGAGCAAATCAGATGAATAGGGTCTGAAGTGAACCCCCAGCAAACTGCAGCAGCCCTACAGAAGAGGGACCTGACTATTGAAAGAAAAACAAGCCGAAAGTGGCAACAACAGCATCAACAACAAAAGGCCCCCACAAAAACCTCATCCAAGGGTCAGCAGCCTCAAAGATCAAAACTAGACAAACTCACAAATATGAGAAATAATCAATGAAAAAAATGCTGAAAACCCAAAAGCCCAGAGAGCCTCTTCTCCTCCAAATGATTGCAGTGTCTCTCCATCAAGGGCACAGAACTGGCACAGAGGATCATATGGAGTAATTGACAGAAGATGGTTAATAAAAAACTATGATTAGCTAAAGGAGCATGTTCTAACCTAATGCAAAGAAGCTAAGAACCTTGATAAAAGGTCAGAGGAATTGCTAACTAGAATAACCAGTTTAGAGAGGAACATAAACGATCTGATGGAGCTGAAAAACACAGCACGAGAACTTCGTGAAGCATACACAAGTATCAACAGCTGAATTGACCAAGTAGAAGAAAGGATATAAGAGTTTGAAGACCACCTTACTGAAACAAGACATCCAGACAAGAACAGAGAAAAGAATGAAAAGGAATGAACAAAGCCTTCAAAAAATATGGGACTTCATAAAAAGACTAAACCTAAGATTGATTGGAGTATCAGAAGGAGATGGGGAGAATGGAAGCAAGCTGGAAAACACACTTCAGTATATTATCCAGGAGAACTTCCTTAACCTAGGAAGACAGGCCAACATGCAAATTCAGGAAATACAGAGAACACTGTTAAAGTACACCATGAGAAAATCAACTCCAAGACACATAGTCATCAGATTCTCCAAGGTTGAAATGAAGGAAAAACTGTTAAGGGCAGCCAGAGAGAAACACCAAGTCACCTACAAAGGGAAGCCCATCAGACTAACAGCAGACCTCTCAGCAGAAACTCTACAAGCCAGAAGAAATTGGGAGCCAATATTCAACATTCTTAAAGAAAAGAATTTTCAACCCAGAATTTAATATCCAGCCAAATTAAGCATCATAAGTGAAAAAGAAATAAAAGTCTTTCCAGACAAGCAAATGCTGAGGGATTTCTTTACTACCAGGTCTGTCCTGCAAAAGCTCCTGAAGGAAGCACATAATATGGAAAGGAAAAGCCAGTAGCAGCCACTGCAAAAACGCACCAAAACTTAAAGACCCATGGCACTACAAAGAAACTGCATCAACCAGTGTGCAAAATAACCAAATAGCACCATGTGACAGGATCACATTCACACATAGCAATAGTAATCTTAAGTGTAAATGAGCTAAATGTCCCAATTAAAAGACACAAGCTGGCAAATTGGATAAGGAGTCAGGACTCATTGGTGTGCTGTACTCAGGAGACCCATCTTACGTGCAAAGACACACAGGCTCAAAATAAAGGGATGGGGAATATTTACCAAGTAAATGGAAAGACAAAAATGGTTGTATTCCTAGTCTCTGACAAAACAGACTTTAAACCAACAAAGATCAGAAAAGACAAAGAAGGACACTACATAAGGGTAAAGGGAACAATTTGACAAGAAGAGCTAACTATTCTGAATATATATGCACCCAATACAGGAGCACCCAGGTTCATAAAGCAAGTTCTTAGAGATCTACAAAGAGACTTGGACTCCCACACAATAATAGTGGGAGACTTTAACACCCCACTGTCAGTATTAGACAGATCAACAAGATAGAAAATTAACAAGGATATTCAGGAGTTGATATTAGCTCTGGACCAAGTGAACCTAGTAGATGTCTACAGAACTCTCTACCCTAAATCAACACAATATACATTCTTTGCAGTGCCACATGGAACTTATTCTAAAATCAACCACATAATTGGAAGTAAAACACTCTTCTGCAAATGCAAAAGAACTGAAATCATAACAGTTTCTCAGACCACAGTGCCATCAAATTAGAACCCAGGATTAAGAAACTCACTCAAAACCACACAATGTCATGGAAATTGAACAACCTGTTCCTGAATGACTACTGGGTAAATAATGAAATTAAGGCAGAAATCAAGAAGTTCTTGGAAACCAGTAAGAACAAAGAGACAACCTAACAGAATCTCTGGGACACAGCTAAAGCTGTGTTAAAAGGGAAATTTATAGCACGAAATGCCCATGTTGGAAAGCTAGAAAGATCTCAAATTGAGTCTAACATCACAATTAAAAGAGCTAGAGAGGCAAGAGCAAAGTAATTCAAAAGCTGGCAGAAGACAAGAAATAACTAAGATCAGAGAAGAATTGAAGGAGAGAGAGACATGAAAACCCCTCCAAAAAAATCAATGAATCCAGGAGCTGGTTTTTTGAAGAAAATTAACAAAATAGACAGACTGCAAGCTAGACTAATAAAGAAGAAAAGAGAGAAGAACCAGACACAATAAAAAAATGATAAAGGGGATATCACCACTGACCCCATGGAAATACAAGCTACCATCAGAGAATAGTATAAACACCTCTATGCAAAAAAAACTGGAGAGTCTAGAAGAAATGGATAAGTTCCTGGATGCATACACCCTACCAAGACTAAACCAGGAAGATGTTGAGTCTCTGAATAGACCAATAACAAGCTCTGAAATTGAGGCAGTAGTTAATAGCCTGACAACCAAAAAAAGCCCAGGACCAGACAGACTCACAGCTGAATTCTACCAGAAATACAAAGAGGAGCTGGTACCATTACTTCTGAAACTATTCCAAACAATTGAAAAGGAGGGACTCCTCCCTAAGTCATTTGATGAAGCCAGCATCATCCTGATACCAAAACCAGGAAGAGACACAACAAAAAAAGAAAACTTCAGGCCAATATCCCTGATGAACATCAATGCAAAAATCCTCAATAAAATACTGGCAAACCAAATCTAACAGCACATCAAAAACCTTATCCACCAAAATCAAGCCAGCTTCATCCCTGGGATGCAAGGCTGGTTCAACATACCTAAATCAATAAATGTAATCCATCACATAAACAGAACCAAAGACAAAAACCATATGATTATCTCACTAGATGCAGAATAGGCCTTTGATAAAATTCAACATCCCTTCATGTTAAAAACCCTCAATAAACTAGGTATTGATGGAATATATCTCAAAATAATAAGAGCTATTTATGACAAACCCACAGCCAATATCATACTGAATGGGCAAAAACTGAAAGCATTCCCTTTGAAAACTTGTACAAGCCAAGGATGCCCTGTCTTACTACTCCTATTCAACATAGTATTGGAAGTTCTGGCCAGGGCCATCAGGCAAGAGAAAGAAATAAAGTGTATTCAAATAAAAAGAGAGTAAGTGAAGTTGTCTGTTTGCAGATGAATAATTTTATATTTAGAAAACCCCACCATCTAAGCCCAAAAGCTTCTTCAACTGATAAACAACTTCAGCAAAATCTCAGGATACAAAATCAATGTGCAAAAATCACAAGCATTCCTTTATACCAACAATAGGCAAACAGAGAGTCAAATCATAAATGAACTCCCATTTGCAATTGCTACAAAGAAAATAAAATACCTAGGAATACAGCTAACAAAGGATGTGAAGGACCTCTTCAAAGAGAAATAAAAGTCAAGGAAATAAAAGAGGACACAAACAAATGGAAAAACATTCCATCCTCATTGATAGGAAGAATCAATATCATGAAAATGGCCATACTGCCCAAAGTAATTTATAGATTCAATACTATTCACATAAAACTACCATTGACATTCTTCACAGAATTAGAAAAAACTATTTTAAATTTCATATGCAATCAAGGAAGACCCCATATAGCAAAGAACATCCTAAGCAAAAACAACAAAGCTGGAGGCATCAAGCTACCTGACTTCAAACCATACTACAAGGCTACAGTAAGCAAAACAGCATGGTACTGGTACCAAGCAGACATATAGACCAGTGGAACAGAACAGAGACCTCATAAATAACTCTACACATCTACAACCATCTGGTCTTTGACAATCCTGACAAAAACAAGCAATGAGGAAAGGATCTCCGATTCAGTAAATGGTGCTGGGAAAACTGGCTAGCCATATGCAGAAAACTGAAACTGGACCCCTTCCTTACACCTTATACAAAAATTAACTTAAGGTGGATTAAAGACTTAAATGTAAAACCCAAATCCATAAACACCCTAGAAGAAAACCTAGGCAATACCATTCAGGAAATAGGCATGAGTGAAGACTTCTTGACAAAAATACCAAAAGCAATTGCAACAAAAGCCAGAATTGACAAATAGGATCTAAATAAACTAAAGAGCTTCTGCACAGCAAAAGAAACTATCATCAGAGTGAACAGGCAACCTACGGAGTACAGAGTGGGAGAAAATTTTTGCAATCTACCCATCTGACAAAAGTCTAATATCCAGAATTTACAAGGAACTTAAACATATTTACAAGAAAAAAAACAACCCCATCAAAAAGTGGGCAAAGGATATGAACAGACACTTCTCAAAAGAAGACATTTATCTGGCCAATGAACATATGGAAAAAAAAGCTCCACATCACTAATAATCAGAGAAATTCAAGTCAAAACTACAATGAGATACCATGTCACACAAGTCAGAATGGCGATTATTAAAAAGTCAGGAAATAATAGATGCTGGAGACGCTGTGGAGAGATAGGAACACTTTTACACTATTGGTGGGAATGTAAATTAGTTCAGTTATTGTGGAAGACAGTATGGAGATTCCTCAAGGGTCTAGAACCCAAAATACCATTTGGCCCAGCAATCCCATTACTGGGTATATACTCAAAGGAATATAAATCATTCTACCCTAAAGACACATGCTCATGTATGTTTATTGCAGCACTACTTACAATAGCAAAGACATGGATCCAAGTCAAATGCCCATCAATAATAGACTGGATAAAGAAAACGTGGTACATATACACCATGGAATACTATGCTACCTAAAAAAGGAACGAGATTGTGTCCTTTGCAGGGACATGGATGAAGCTGGAAGCCATCATCCTCAGCCAACTAACACAGGAACAGAAAACCAAACACCACATGTTCTCCCTCATAAGTGGGAGCTGAACATTGAGAATGCAAGGACACAGAGAGTGGAACAACACATACCAGGGCCTGTTGTGGGGTGGGGGCTGAGGGGAGGGAACTTAGAGGATGAGTCAATAGGTGTAGGAAACCACCATGGCACACATATACCTATGTAATAAACCTGCACATTCTGCACATGTATCCTGTTTTTTTTTTAGAAGAAGAAATAAAGGAAAAAAAAAGAGAATCTAATAATGAGTGTATATACTCTATTTCTGACACATGTTCTTTTTCTCTCTACAGCTTCCCCATTTCTACTAAAGATAATCAAGGAAAGACCATTGGGTTTGCAGAATAAATCTAGTCTCATTAAACTTGGGCCTAATTATTATGTAAGTGCAGTGAGAAACATGTTTCTTTATGGTACAATTTTTCATGTCTATTTACAAATCCAAATATTTTTAGCTTCTTTATACCATATAAAAACAAGATGCCAAAAGTATATAAACTTTGTGAACCACAAAGTATCTGAGATAGGTACCAATCAATTTAGAAAGTTTGTTTTGCCAAGGTTAAGAACATGCCCTTAACACAGTCTTAGGAGGTCCTGATGACTTGTGCCCATGGTGGTTGGGGTACAGCTTGCTTTTATGGATTTTAGGGAGACATAATACATCAAATGATATATGTAAGATTTACATTGGTTCAGTCTGGAAGGGCAGTAAAAATTGAAGCAGGTTCTTCCAGGTCATAGGTAGAGTTAAAAATTTTCTGATTGTTAAATGATTGAAGGAGTTATCAATAGAAAGAAATGTCTGGTTTCCAATTAAGGGTTGTGGAGACCAAGGTTTTATCATGCAGATGAAGCCTCCAGGTAGCAGGCTTCAGAGAGAATAGATTGTAAATGTTTCTTATCAGACTTAAGGTCTGTGCTGTTGTCTTTTCCTGAATTCTAAAAAGCAGGAGGTATACTGAGGCATGTCTGACCCCCACCCCTCTTCCCATCATGGCCTGAACTTGTTTTTCAGATTAATTTTGGAATGCTATAGCCAAGAGGAGGGGTCATTCAGATGATTGGTGGCCTTAGAATTTTATTTTGTGTTTACAGCTTACACATATGTTCAGAAATTGATGTTTCACCATTTGCCTTATTTGAAAATGATCTAGATAGTCCATAATTATCTATTCTTCAACTTAACTTAGCAAAACTTTAAAAGTGTAAATTACCAAAGATATTTAGGGAGATTTTTTTTTAGTAGATAAAGTATAACACAAAACAAAGCTATTCATCATTGAATTATTTTTCTTGTTTATGAATTGCATAATATAGAGATAACATGAAATTATTATATTAGGAAACCTAGGTAGAAAATGCTGACAACTCCAAAGACTTGTCTATTTTGGTAGCAGGACAAGCCGCAGACAAAACCCCTCAGACACCGAGTTAAAGAAGGAAGCGGTTTATTCAGCCAGGAGCATTGGCAAGACTCCTGTCTCAAGAGTCAAGCTCCCTGAGTGAGCAATTCCTGTCCCTTTTAAGGGCTCACAACTCTAAGGGGGTGTGCATGAGAGGGTCATGATTGATTGAGCAAGCAGGGGGTATGTGACTGGGGGCTGCATGCACCAGTAACTAGATCAGAACAAAACAGGATAGGGATTTTCACAGTGCTTTTCCATACAATGCCTGGAATCTATAGATAACATAACCAGTTAGGTCAGGGGTCGATCTTTAACTACCAGTCCCATGGTGCGGTGCCAGGCTGTCTTCCTGTGGATTTCATTTCTGCCTTTTAGTTTTTACTTCTTCTTTCTTTGGAGGCAGAAATTGGGTAAAGGACTATATGAGGGGTGGTCTCCTCCCTTATTTTAAATAAACCAGCATGCTATAGCTAACTTTTCATGCACTGAAGTTATCCACAAACAAGTGTACATGAAAAGCATTTGAATTCATTCCCATATTTCTAGCAGTTTTAGGAATATTTCATTTATATAAACACTTATTTTCTTCAAGTCAATTAACTAGAGATCCTTAACATATATTAATGTTGGCAATACCATTTAAAGATAGAAAAATACTCTGTACATATGACATACAAACATACATAAATACTACAAGGCATACATCAACATACACAGAAGCAGGTCTTGCAGTTTTTAGTCTAAAATTTTAGCCATATGCCTGATACAGTAACACACAAAACTCACTAGTTCATAAAAACACATGCAAATCTGGATCAGAATTATATTTGTAGCTAATGGAACAAGATTATTCACCCAGATGGCTAAAACAGACTTTTAAGATTTTTTATTTGTCACTTTTCCAATTGTCGTTGCCCTCTTCCTTTTTAGACAACAAATCTTCCAAATTTCCATTTCACTTCTCTATCAAACTATTTCTCTGACGAGGCTATTTCTGCCCATTGTTGGACATTATGGGCTGTATAGACTTTCCTTAGTCTGAGGAAATGTGACATGGCAGCTTTAGTTAATGTCCCTCAAATAGAAATTCTCCAGTTCGAAACCCATCAATCTTTATATTTTTATGTTCTCTCAATCAAATTGTAGCCCAAGTGAGGGCTTTACCAATAGATTTTGGCACCACAGCACATGAGGCTGCCATACCAAGGAGTCTGGAAATTTCTTTTGCCCTGATCATTTTACCTACTCTTATGCAAAAGACTTTGAGTTCTTATCAGTGAGTTGAGCCAAAGGACCCTTGTCCTTTTTTCAGTCTTGATCTTGATTAACCTACCTGACCATTGCCTCAAGTGGTTACAAGTCAGGTTTCTCATTGTAATCTCTACCTTCTAGCTTAAAAAATTCTCCCAATGGATAAATAGGGCAGACTTGCTTAACACCCTTTAATGTTAGGGAAGTAGCCAAGGTGTCCCTTTGGTCCATCCATCCCTTGGTAATGTTACATTTAAACTTTTGTTTTAACCCAATTAAGGTCCATTTTATTCATTCTATTTCTTAATAACAATCTACAGATGGCTGCTCTCATTTTGCATTTCTAAAGGGATGGCATTTAAGTATGATAAGGTAGAGAATTAACATTTAAAAGGCACAGAACGTAGACTTCAGACCTAAATACTATCATTTGCTGAAATAAATAAGGTGGGGGTAAAAGTCCATTAAGACAACATGATCGTGAAAAGAATCTCAAACATAAATGCAAGGCTTGCTATGTAGATTTAAGCCAATGCCTTTTCTCCCAAGTAAGAGTTTCTATGATTTTAGTCCTGGTGCAGGGAGGGAGGATACCTTATACATGGAGATTTTATGCAACTTTTTCTTATAAAGAGGTCTCAAAATAACTGACTAGAGTTAGTCATTGTGCCATAAAGGCATATTTTGGCTATATCACTGTCTTCCCGACCCAGTTTGTGTTTTTTAACTAGATTACTGAATTCAGAGTTAAACCTATTACCACGGAGGGCAGAAAAAGCATTTTCTATGTATGGGCTCAACATGCATAGACCAGAATGTTTTAAAAATAGTGCTTTTAATCTTAACTTATAGTCAGAGGCTGGTTCATTCTTTTTCTATTTATAAAATTGATTTGCAGTCCTTTCACAATTTTTTTTTGACAAAATACTTTGGGGATGGTTTCTTGGGATTTTCCAGTAGAACAGCAATGCCTTTAGCCACTGCTCTGAGCTCAGGATCTTGACCAAGATATAAAGGTGGTTAAAGAAGCACATCTGATTGATTTGAGGGCCTAACTTCACAAGGCATTTATCAACCTTTATTTTGTTCTTTGAGGAGGGAATTCGACTAAGTGAAAATATTAGTAAGCAGAGGAGGAAAGAGAGGGACAATAGGGGTTTCATCAGTCTTACAGTCTTTTGTAAATAATATTTTAGTGAAGCTATTTTAGAATCCTGAGGTCTTATAGAAACTACTTCATATCAATGAAAATAGATGTACCATTCTCTATGCCTAATTTGGGAGTGCTTATTTTCATGTGCACCTCTTAGATGGATGATTTTGTGCAATTATAACATTCCTCATAAAAGCCATTGTAATTCTAAATTATGTTTAGTAAGGTTTTGCCATTTTTTTTTGTAAATATTTACAGCTTCCAGGAACATACATTTTGAGCATAAGAGAAGCAGGTATACCAGAAGATAGAGTACTGGATACTTTAGAATGTAAAGATCCCATTCTTGTATTGTGCCTTGGGTTTCTTGGAGCTGAGAAAAAAAAAAGCCCAAGATGGTAGTGCTACACTGCTGTGTTGTGTGATATTTTATAGTATTCTTCACTGAATGGAAATTTTTCTTGAAGCTGGCAAGTGGCAAGTGCACTAGTGTCAAGCTAACCCATTCTGTCACCAACTTATCCTAACACAGGAATCCTAGTTTTAGGTGGCAGACACTTTAACAGTTTTTAAGTGTTTGATCCATGCCCATCAGTCAAGTTGTGGCTCGGCTCTGAGATTCCTTTGACCAATATAGTCAAAGATTTTTTTTACCTTTGCATATAAGATAAGAAACAAGGAGGAGAGAAACAAAATCCCTGTGAATGTGGCAACAGCTATCTTTTACCTCTAAAGCTTCAGCCCTTGTCTGTCTAATGGAGCACCACAAAACACCCAAAGGTCATATGCTTTGCTACAACACAAAAGGACCTTGAACTGGAAAGCCAAAAGTATCAGAGAGCTCAACGAAGAGAGTACAGCTGAAATTCAAGAGGAACTTACTGACAAATTCTGGGTTTGGTGAGGAAGGCAGAGAAGTCTAAAGGAGCCAGCAGTCACCTCATCTGCATACCTAATGGGTTACAGGGATAGCCACAACCCTCCTTCAGATACCATCTTCAAAGACTGTCAGAGAGCAGAATCCTAACAAGCTGAGTTTCAAAGATCTAACTGATTTTCAATACAATTCATGAACCAGGCAGCACCCAGTAGACATAAGCTGTGTCAGGCAGATTTATCAGAAATGAGGAAACAGCAATAGTGCAAAAATAGACTTGTTAGCATCAGGCTACATTCTTTATATGGGTTAAAGCAGAGAGGACATTCTTACTATGCTAACTTAGATTAACTGGGCCCCTTTTGATTGGTTACTGAGAATGTTCTGTTTTTATTAAAACTGGCTGGCTTGGCTATTATCTCTCCCTGGATTCTTGAAAGGTCAGCTCTTTCAAGTAAACAACTTAGGTTTTAGTTTATTAACATGAAACTTTAGCATAAGTCACCCCATTCGAGGCCTTACATCCTTTTTTTTTTTTAAATTGTAAGTGTTATAATTATATTTCTATATTTAGTTGTTAAAATCAAAGTTGAAAACTGTTTAGATGCATGGGATTTTCAAGTGGGGAGCACTCTGCTCTTTAGGTAAGCTCTGTATCTTCATATTTTTGTCATGGGGGAAAAGCACTATTAATTAGACATGGTTGGAGTGTTAATTGGGGACATTAAAATATTACATTTAATCCTCTCTTTTCAGGAGTTGTTCCCTTTCCAAAGGCCCTTTATTAGAACCTGCTTATAGTGGAGAGATGTACCACTGATCTCCTTGAAAAGAGGAGAAGATTTGGAAGTTCTAACTGCTTCTTTTTTGATGTTGTTTTTAAAAATCTTTATTGAAATGTAACTTATATTTTATGATGTTAAACTATGTGAAATGTAAAATTCCATGGTTTTTAGTATATTTACAGATTTGTGCAAACAATAATAACAATAATCTAATTTTAGAATATTCATCACCTTATAAAAAGACTTTGCATCCATTAGCAATTACTCCCAATCCCTCTGCCCTTACTTTCCTGTACCACAGGCCAAGCAATCACTAATTTACTTTTTGAACATACAGATTTTTCTGTTTTGCACACTTCATTTAAATGGTATCATACAATATGTAATGATTTATGACTATTTTTTCATTTACCGTAGTGATTTTCAGGTTTATACATGTTATGGCATGGATTAGTACTGCGTTTCTTCTTACTGTAAAATAGCCTATTGTGTCGCAATTTGATTACCTATTCATTAGTTGATGGACATTTCACTTTTTCCACTTTTAAGCTATTATGAATAACATTACTATAAACATTTGTGTACAAATTTTTGTGTGGCCATGCATTTTAACTCGTATTGGGTAGGTGTGAAGAATGAGAACTGTGAATTTTTGGATTATAAGATAACTCCTTTTCACGTTTGACAAACTGTCTTCAGAAATGGTTGCTCCATTTTATATTTCCATCAGCATGCATAAGAATTCCAATTTCTTCACATCCTCACCAACACTTGTTAATGTGTGTCTTTTGAATTACAGTGATTCTAATGGATGTGAATTTGTTTCTCTTTGTGGTTTTGATTTACATTTCCCTAATACACAATGAAGTTGAGAATATTTGCATTTGTGTACTAGTTATTTGCATATCTTATTTGGAGAAATGTCTATTCACATTATTTGCACATGTTTTAATTAGGTTGCCTTTTTGTTGTTAGTTGTAAATGTTCTTTATATATTCTATATACTAGATCTTTATGGGATATATATTTTGCAAATATTTTTACCATTTCTGAAGGTTGTCTTTTTGTTTTCTTGATGGTGTCATTTGAAGCAGGAAGTTTTTAATTTTGAAAACTTAATCTTTCTCCATTTGATTTTCTTGGATTCTTCTTCAAATATTAATTGACTGTAAATGTTAGAATCTATTTCTGGGCACTCAATTTCACTGATCTGTAAATCTAATAAAAGGCCAGTAACAAATTGTCTTGGTTACTGTAGTTTATAGTTAGTTTTGAAATTGAGATATGTGAATCCTCCAACTTTGTTCTTATTTAAAATTGTTATGGACATTCTGAATAATTTTCATTTTTCTGTGCTTTATTTCTGGATCATGATCCATGGGCACTTAAAAAACGCATATTTGCTGTTTTGTAGTGAAATGTGCTATAGATATCTATTGCCTTATAATTTTGTTATAGTCTTCAATATCTCTGTTGATATTTTTGCCTAGGTATTCTATTATTGAAAGCTGTTTACTTAAGTCTTTAAATACGATTGTTAAATTTTCTATTTCTCCCTTCAATTCTGTTATTTTTTGCCTTGTGTAATTCTCTGGCTCTGTTTTTGGTTGCATACATGTTTATAATTTTTATATCTTCCTGATAGACATCCTAGCTCTCTTATTAGTGATGTTTGTATGGTATATCTTTTAAGTTCCTTTACTTTTAGGTGAATTGTATCTTCAAAAATGTACTATGTCTCCTATACACACATCTAAACATTCCGGTTTAGAGCTAAACTTTTCTTTTAATAATTATTATAATTATTTTGTTGATAGTAGAATTATACCTTTTTATAATGTTTAAACTTTTTAAATTTCTATGGAAAAAATATAAATTCCAATTCATATTTTTCAGTTTTTATACTGAACATATAACATATAATTTGTATAAGAAAATAATGTCTAAAAACTAATATGTTTGTAATTTAAATAATTTATTACTTCACCAAATTGAATTTTAAATGAAACAATAACAATCATTAAATGTTAAGCAATATATATTTATATCTAAAATGTAATAATATTTTACAGTATAATCATATGGGGTCTGATACAACTGTTGTCGCTCAAAAAGTTTTCCAGTTGATTGGATTGACGAATGCTGTAAGTCTTTGCTTCTTAGTACTTTTGCACTTCTTGTGTTACTAAAACAATTTCTACACCTCATTATGACACTACATGAATCCACACGTTGTGTGGCATAAGGGAAATTAAGTTTTATTTTAAATTTTACTTATCTGAAGTGGGAATAATAATTGTATGCACATAATTTGGCTACTGTAAGACTTAAATTATATAAAGCATGGGGTATGGGGCTTCCTTAAATGCAAGCATTATAAAATCTCAAGTATTACTTTTATTATTAGTAACATTTTAAACTTACTAATCTACTTTAAAAGATGAAATGCAGACTTATAGTTTAGTTGTTTAATATTTATCATAAATTTGTTTTCAAACATATATATCTAATTTTTAAAAACTGTGACTTTTGAGCACACTTTTGTATGTTTTCTATTTTAGATTTTTGTTTCATTTAATATTACAATTATTCTGTCTTCATTGGAGCTTTGGATAGATGAAAATAAAATTGCAACCACTGGAGAAGCTAATGAGTTATTACACACATTTTTAAGATGGAAAACATCTTATCTTGTTTTACGTCCTCATGATGTGGCATTTTTACTTGTGTAAGGATATCTTGACATTATATAAAGTTTATCTGAAGAAAATTTATGCAATTTGACCGAATATCTTACTGTTGATAAATGTGTATTAAAAAAATCTATTTTTTTCTCACACACGCCATGTAAATATTTTTCACAACATGGTATTTATATTGGAATTACTGATATCAATTTATTTATTGGTTTGAAGTTAAAACTCACTCCCCAATCTTGTTCCCATATTACTTCTTTCCCTAGGGTATATACCACATTATTAAAAATCTCACACAATACATAAAATTTTCACAATATCTATTTGGAGAAACATCTGAATTCTATAAATATAGTAATTCAGCCTTCTTGTTATGATTTGTTGTTGTAAATTAAAAAGTAAGCAAAGTAATTGAAACACTATGTTTTAATATCTCTAATATATCTGCATTGTGCTTAAGGTTTTAGTACATTAGCCTTCCTTTCTATTTAATAGACTCTGTTTTTCTTTTATCAATATTCAGAATATATATACATATATTATGTGTGTATATATATGTGTATATATATATATAGAGAGAGAGAGTTTTTAAGATTAAACATGGAGTTTTAAACATTTTACTTTTTATCTTCTGTCCCATAAATATGACATGCTTTTTCATGTCTCTAGAAGGCTAATTTTGTCTGAATAATGAGAGACTTTAGTCCATAGAGTGATTCTGCTCATTAACAAGTTGCATTGCCTTAGCTTTTTACTTTTAAGGAATTTTATTTATTTTTATTATTTTTTGTTTTTTCTTCAGTTTTTCTGTTTTAGTTTTTTTAAATCTACATAAAATGAATCTTTGTTATGTTACAGAAATCCATATAAAATACACTTTGTTTTTAAAATTTATTTTATTGTTTTTAAAAGAAGCAGAAAGATTTAGTCACATCTTATGCTATGTTACATTAATGTTAGATGTAAATATTAATGATTATCATAAATGTAAAATTTGTCTTATAAAAATTCATATTAATTTTTACAAAATTATATGATTATGATCCCTTTTTAAACTTAAGTTACAGAGAAAAGTCAAATTATGTTGGTGCAACCTTTCAAGGGAAGATGTGTGATGCAAACTATGCAGGAGGTGTTGTTCTGGTATGGTATGGTTATGTATAGAAAGTATGCTACATAAATTAGTATACAGTTACACATTTTCATATTTAATTTTTATGTGTATTAAAATTTGCATTGTTCTAAGCATCTTTGTCACTGTTGCTGACAGAAATGTTTAAACTATAAGAAGTACTCATTCAATTCACTATGTATAAAAATTTTTCAATTTCCTATCATGAGTTCAAGATATCCTTTCTAGAAAGTTAAGGTAGTGAACTAGTTTAGTCTTACTGTAAAGTGCTCTTCAAGTTTTCATAATCTTAATATTTAATAATTAATTTCGGCTAAAACTTAGATTTTATATGTTTTCCTAATTATGTAGTGAACATAATTATTAACCAGATTAAAATAAAACATTTGAAAGTATCAGTCGCCTTAAAATGCTTCATAGGGTATAAGTAAAGAATAACGGAACCAAATGTCCTAATTGACATTAATTATCTAGTAGAGAATGTTAGTGTATTCAAAACTGATATATTTTTGCCGTTATTTCATAATACTATCACTATTCTGACAAACAGAACTTGCCTTTTTGTTGTGTGAGTGTTTGTATAATATCTGCAGGAGTTTCTTAGAGGCAATGAACAAATGAAGTGAAGCTAAGTGAAGCAATAAAGAGATGAATCAATTAAATGGAGATAAAAATAATTTCAACTTTTATTTTAGATTTAGGGCATACATATACAAGTTTGTCACCTGGGTATATTGTGAGATGCTAAGGTTTCGGATATGATTGATTCTGTCACCCAGGTACTGAGCATAGTACCCACTAGTTAGTTTTTCAACCCTTCCTCCACCCCCGGTAGTTCCTGGTTTCTAGTGTTACCATCTTAATGTCTAAGTGGACCCAATGTTTAGCTCCCACTTATAAGTGAGAACACGCAGTATTTGGTTTTCTGTTCCTGAGTTAATTCACTTAGAATAATAGTCTCTAGCTGCATCCATGTTGCTGCAAAGGCTATGATTCTTTTTATGGCTGCATAGTATTCCATGGTTTATATGTATCACATTTTCTTTATCCGATCCACCATTTACGGACACTTAGGCTGATTCCATGTCTTTGTTATTGTAAATAATGCTGTGATAAACATATAAGTGCCAGTGTCTTTTTGGTAGAATGATTTATTTTCTTTCTGTCTTTCTTTTTTTTTTTTTTTTTATTTGAGACAGAGTCTCTGTCATCCAGGCTGGAGTGCAATAGCACAATCTCGTTTCACTGCAACCTCCACCTCCCTGGGTTCAGGCAATTCTCCAGCCTCAGTCTCCCAAGTAGCTGGGATTACAGGTGCTCACCACCAAGCCCAGCTAATTTTTGTATTTTTGGTAGAGACAAAGTTTTGCCACATTGGCCAGGCTGGTCTTGAACTCCTGACCTCATGTGATCCCCCCGCCTTGGTCTCCCAAAGTGCTGGGATTGACTTATTTTCTTTCGAGTATATACCCAGTAATAGGGTTGCTGGATTGAATGGTAGTTCTGTTTTAAGTTATTTGAGAACTCTCCAAACTGCTTTCCACAGTTTCTGAACTAATTCTAGTCCCCCTAACAGTGTATAAGCAGTCTGTTTTCCTCATAGCCTCATCAGCATCTGTTGTTTTTTATTTTGTAATAAGAGCCGTTCTGACTGGTGTGAGATGGTGTTTCATTGTGGTTTTGATTTGCATTTCTCTAATGATTAGCTGGTTAGCCATACACAGAAGAATAAAACTAGATGCCTTCCTTTCACCATATGCAAAAATTAACTCAAGATGGATTAAATATTTAAATGTAACTCCTCAGACTATAAGGGGTTCTAGAAGAAGACCTAGGAAACACCATTCTGGACTTTGGCATTGCCAAATAATATATGACTAAGTCCTCAAAAACAATTGCAACAAAAGCAAAAATTTACAAGTGAGATTTAATTAAACAAAGGAGCTGCTGCACAACAAGAAATATCAACAGAGTAAACAGACAACCTACAGAAAGGGAGAAAATATGCACAAACTATACATCTGACAAAGGCCTAATATCCAGAATCTATAAGGTGGTGAAACAATTGAACAAGCAAAAAACAAACAACCCCATTAAAAAATGGGCAAAAGACATGAACAGACACTTCTCAAAAGAAGACATACAAATGGCCAACAACATATGAAGAAAATGCTCAACAAAAATTAATCTTCAATATTTATGAACAAGTTTGGAGAATGTGACTTATACTTATGGTCAAGTGATTTATCTGGTCTCAAATGCTGGAATTTGGCTTGTTTATTTCATCACATGCCACACTAAGAAATCACAAGACTCTCCCATGGAGAGTGCAAGGCCTTCACTGATTAACAAAGAGGAGAGCAGAACTGATTTTCTCTACAGGGCGGGCTTCCAGCATGGGCAACATAGTAAGAACTCATTTCTACAATAATTTAAAAAAATATAAATATTCGCCAGGCATGGTGGAAGGCCCCTGTAGTCCTAACTGAGGTAGGAGGATCACTTGAGCCTAGGAGTTCAAGGCTACAGGGAGCCAGGACTGCACCACTGCACTCCAGCCTGGGCAACAGAGCAAGACTCCATCTCAACAATCACAACAAAATTTTTAAATTAGAGGCACGCTAGCTTCCAGGAAGAAGAAAATGCCATAATTTACTGGACAATTTGTGCCTCATGGGCAGAGAAAAATGGTCTCTTTAGTAACGACAATTGGAAGAAAGCTTTTCTAGTATTCTTTCTTATTCTCCACAGTTATTTTGCCTGCCCTTTCACTGGAAAAATCAGCTATAAACAATGTTCACAGAAGTAAGATGTTGAAGAGAATAGTTGAAGTTCTGCCTTTTGATGTTTAAATTCCCACCACCCTTTCTACCTAATCCTGCAGGGCTGTAGATTGCAATTTAGAGTCTGTATCCTTCCAATGCTGCTCCTTCCTAAAAGTTTATATGTGAAACCACAGCACAAGTAGTTTTTGGTTGAGTACAAACAAGAAAGAATAATCAGCATATGATTTTTCACTTAATTTTTTTTTTTTCTTTTCGAGACAGAGTCTCGCTCTGTCACCCAGGCTGGAATGGGGTGGCGCGATCTTGACTCACCCCGCCTCCCAGGTTCAAGCGATTCTCCTGCCTCAGCCTCCTGAGTAGCTGGGACTACAGGTGCCCGGCACCATGCCTGGCTAATTGTTTGTATTTTTAGTAGAGATGGGGGTTTCACCATGTTAGCCAGGATGGTCTCGATCTCCTGACCTTGTGATCTGCCTGCCTCAGCCTCCCAAAGTGCCGGGATTACAGGAATGAGCCACTGTGCCTGGCCTTAAAATATTTAATTGACAAACATCATATATATTCAAGGGTTACAATGCGACAATTATACGTCTTTAGATATAGTCATGTTAGGGGTCACGGTTTCAGCATAAGAATTTGGAGTGGGAGGGAGACAATTTGGTCCATAGCAGTAGTCTAAAGGAAGGATGTTCTAGAAGAAATAATGAGGAATATTTAATTATGATGAAGGGGAAGATAGCAATCATAATGTTGTATGCATATAATTACATTGCTTCAAAATATATAGAGCAAATGTGAGAGAATAAAGGAAAAAGAGGTCCATAATCATATTTAAGAATGGAAAAAAACAACCTACCTCAGCAATGTATTTTTTCATTTTATCAAAATATATATTTCTAAAATCTTATACCAAAGAGAAACATTGCTAATGTAGAGTATTTACCAAAGCAAATAATATGGTGAGAAATAAAGCAGTATCAATAAATATTAAATGATTGAAATCTTACAGAGAAAAGTGTCTGAGCATTGTGGATTTAAATGAGAACCAACTAATAGAAATATCACTTAAAAATCTCGAAAGATTTGCAAATAAAATAATGAGATAACTCATTTTGAGCTAAGTGACATTAAAAATACAGGGTATCTAAACTTATGGGATCCCAAAAAGGCAGAGCTGAGAGGTAGTGCATTTATAGCTTTAATGTATAAATAAAAATAAGGTCAGTTTGAATGTAGATGATCTAACTCCATCTCCAAAAAGCATTATAGATGGTGAGTTAAGCTAAGAGACGCTATAAAGTAGGAAATAAGTTTTAAGGATAATATTGGCTATCAATGAAATACAAAATATAATGAAGAAAATCATCAAAGCTCAAACTAATTTTTTGAAGATATATACAAGTTATAACAACCTACCAAAATGGGTATCTTATTTCAAAAAAAGCTGAAAAAACAAATTATCCAAATATTAGTTGAATAAAGGGACATGATCACCACAGATCATATAGACATTACACATATAAGACGGCTTATCCTCAACCAATTAATGGCAATAAATATGGATAAAATTTTATGAATAATAAATTTTCTCAATTAAATAGAAAAGTAAATCTGCATCACCATTGAACCATTGGCATAGTTGAGTCTCCAATTAAAGCACTTTTCTCCAAAACAAACAAAACATCTAGGCCCACATGATTTCCAAAAAATGGCTCCAAAATATTTAATGCTTGTAATAAGTTACTTTAGATAATACAAAAGGAGGGGCTAATTCTCACCTTGTTTTATGATTTGAGATTTATGTTAACTATATGTTAACAAAAAGAATTTTGCAATATATCAAAAGAGTATGACATGGTGAACACATAGAAATTATTCTAGGAATACAAGATGAATTTTATATTTGAAATCAATCATTATAATCTACTTTATTAAAAAATAGATACAGAAGATACATTTGTTAAATTTAGAACCTACTTAGGACAAAAAAAAGCAAGATTGAATACTCTCAGCAAACTTAATGTAAAAAGAGACATCTTCAAGAAATGTTTGCCCATTCTAAGATCATGAAGCTATTCTATCCTCTAACACAAGCTTGATTGATTTGCCTTTCAATGTAGATGTATAATCCACATTAAAGAAATTTGTTTGGTGTAAAATAGGGGACAGAATCAGTTAGCTCACATTGGATAGGTAATTGCTTCATAACAACTTATTTAAAAGGTTAGTTTTCCTCCAAATAAATACAGTTGTGCCTTTGTAATAGAGATCAAGTCGCCATATCGCTGGCCTCTTTCCAGAATCTTTTATGACCATTGGTGTTTTTGTATGTCCTTCCACCAACACCACGTTGTCATAATGACTCTACCTCGATAGTGAAACATCAAAAATGGTAGTGTAAACCCTACTAGTCTGTTATTCTTCAAGACTGTTTTAGGTATTCCAAGTCCTCTGCATTTCCATTTTAAAATCAGCTTGCAATTTCAACAAAACTGTTTGATTTTTATTGCTTTTTATGGAAACTTTAGATCAAGAGAGATTAGTATCAACAATATTGAGGCATTTTATCCATCAAATTCATAAACATATTGTGGAATATCCATATCCTGTAGTGCACTACACAGAAATTAAAAGAAGTACAGTTACACTCAAAATTAATGAATTTCCAAAACTATATTTTTAGAAAAACTAGCCAGAAATAAAATAATAAATACTTAATGGTGCCATTTTTATGAAGCTAAAGTGCAAGTAAAGATAAGCCATTGTACTGAGATCAAAATAAAGATTCTATTTTATGTGGAGGTAGTGCCTGGAAACTTGCTGAAAAGAACTTCCTGAGTGATGAAAATATTTTGTGTCTAGTACAAAGTAGTAGTTATACAGGTTCATGTGACACACACACACATGCGCACACACACACAAGTACACACGTATGCACTTCCCCAATACATGTGTATATATGTGTTTTCACATAAGTATACATAAATTATACCTACATGAATGTGTACATATGGGTACATAACTACACATAAACATATAAACACACACATTGATATGTATATGAAACTGTATCAAATCCAAAACATTATTTTAAAGGTATGAAAGGAACTTACAGTGAGCCAAGATGGCGCCACTGCACTCCAGCCTGGGCGAGAGTGCGAGATTCCATCTCAAAAAAAAAAAAAAGAAAAGGTATGAAAGCGCCACACAAAACAAGCTTTATAATAATTCCAAAGGGCAATAATTGAAAGAGATAACAATGTTTTAGTTTCAACTGTAAAAGGCAAAGATTATTTGATCGCATTTTCTCTACAAGTTTCAAACCCATTTGTAATATCACAGGAATTTTAACCCCTAAAGGGTAAGAGAAAGACCAAAAAATAACAACCATAGGATAATTTATATATCAATACTAGTATAAAGCAGCAAAATATTATTTAAATAAAAATCCATATGTATTTTGTTTCTATTACTTAAGATGAAACAAAATCTTAGTAGCATTATATAATGATCCTGAACATATATGTAGGTATATTCTAAAAATCTACTGAAATAGAATGCAAACAGTGAAACAGCTGTGAATATAGGCAAAATAAATTATTAAGTGTTCTTTCAATGATATTCTGGACTTGACTTTCTATTGACTGGGCTGTTTGCAATTATTGGGTGGCAGAGGTTAATGTGCAGATTTTTGTCTGGTAGAAATGCAAATAATTTCTCTCTGGTGGATGAGATAACCCACATATTATTATTCATTATTCTCTAAAACACTAATCAGTTTTGTATCTAAAACCTACAATTCTATCCTAACATGTTTATTAATATACTCCTAGCTTCTCAAATGCTCTTTGATATGGTTTGGCTCTGTCCCCACCCAAATGTCATCTTGAATTGTAGCTCCCATAATTCCCATGTGTCATGGGAGGGACCCGGTGGGAGGTATTGAATCATGGGGGTGAGTCTTTCCCATGCTGTTCTTGTGATAGTGAATAAGTCTTATGAGACCTGATGCTTTCATAAAGGGGAGATCCCCTGCACGCGTTCTCTGGCCTGCCACCATGTAAGATGTGCCTTTGCTCTTCCTTCCTCTTCCACTATGACTGTGATGCTTCCCCAGCCATGTGAAACTGTGAGTCCATTAAACCTCTTTTTCTTTATAAATTACCCAGTCTTGGGTATGTCTTTACCCGCAGCATGAGAGAAGACTAATACACTCTTTGAATTGGCGTGAACATCTTACCAGTTTCTTGACTAAATAATGAGTTGAACAAAACATAACATGTGTTCATTAAAGAAAAAAAAGGCATAGATAGAATGTTGATACATAAAATTAGAGACGAGTGTTTTTCTAAAAAAACTTATATGGCAGGCACATTTATAGAGAATGCTCACATGTTATGCAAAAAACAAGTCTCAATAAATCCCCACTTGTTTACAAATTTCTCAGTCTGATGATTGGCATATAAGAAGCCTAATAAATGCTTGTTGCTGTTATTATTTGAAAACTATGGTTCTAAACAGGTATATTCACCAAAAGAAAATTGTCTGCTCTGTTGAAATTTTTTGTCCCTAAATATATATTTTTTAAATTCAGTGTTAAATATAGTTGTGCTTTATTGTCACTTGCCTTTCAAATCAGAGATAATAATAACAAGAACCTGTAGGAAATTCTCTTACTGCTTTCCATATCTTTAAAATTTTTTTATACTAGTCTGGACTGAGCTGTGTCCCCCCGAATTCATATGTTGAAGCCTTAACCTCCAATGTGACTATATTCAGAGATAGGACCTGAAAGGTTAAATAGGTCATGGTGGGGGGCTCTAATTCAATAGGACTGCTGTCCATAGAAGAGGAGGAAGAGACAGCAGAGATAAGGCTCTCCATGCGCACATAGAGGAAAGGCCAGCAAGAAGGCAACCTATCACAAGCCAAAAAGGTCTCAGCAGATGCCAACCAACCCTGCCAGCACCCTGATCTTGGACTTCTAGAACTGCGAAATTTCACAGAACTGCAAGGAAATAAATTTCTCTTGATTAAACCATCAAGTCTTTGGTATTTTGATCCTATAATGATCAAAGACATTTGAAAGTGTCTTTGAAAGGAAATACAATAAAAGGAAAGATCAAAAATATATGTACTAGTAAGAATACAGGGAAGGCAAGAGCAACTGAACATGAAGGAAAAAAAAAACCCTGCTTTTATACAAATGCCTAAAGTGAAATCACTGGATCTTGTTGTTTCCATCTTAGTGAATTATAAGAGATAACAGGAAACAGGAGAAAAAGAGAAAAGTATAAAGATGCATTTATGGGTCAGTAAGCCTTTTCTACAATATCTCAAAAATAGGGGGTTTAAAATAACAGTACCAGTATTAATATACTACTACAGTATTTAGCTTCTTGAAATTTAGCTGAATCCTTCAATTTATTCCCTGTAGAATCATTCTCTCTCCTTCTCCTTCCCCTTCTTCTCCTTCTTTTCCTTCTCCTTTTCATTCCTTTCTTCTTTCTCCTCCTCCTCGTCCTCCTCCTTCTTCTTCCTAACACTGTCTCTCTGAAAGCAGATGATACATTTAAAATGTGGAAATTTGATAAATGGAGTATTTATCCATGTGCATGCAAAATGTAGAGCCTTTGCAGTACCTCCACACAAGTAATAAAGAACTTTAATTGGTACCAAGTGTTGATGGAGGGAAGAGAGTCATTTTATCAGAGTCACAGACAGAAGGTAGATGTCCCATCAAGGGTTCAAAGAGACGTAAGCATCCTTGCAATGATGTAGTAAATACCTCACTTTCATTCACATCTCATTCTCTTCTCTCCATTAGAAAAAATCAAGGTAAAACTCAAGGGCAAAGCATCCCTCTGACATAATCCATTTGTGTCATCTTTTTGGGGTGGAGGGCAAGGTAGAAAATGATGGAAAACTGACTTAGAGAGGCAACAGAAGAAATCAAAATGTATACCTAGAAACCTATCATGAAGTATATTCATCAAAATGTTAGTAGATATATTTGAAGGGGTAGCAGGATATGTGGATTTTTCCCAAAATTCATGTTATAGTGTGATCAAAATGTGCTATAATAAGCATCTTACTCTTACAAAAAGAGAAGTTATAAATTTAAATTATATGTTTATAATTTAATATATAATTAATATATAAATTATATATTAAAATTATATAAATATAAATTATATATTTTAGTTTTCCCAATAAAATTGAAACAACTGAAAAGTCAGAATTCTTATATCAGTCATTATTACCGTAATATTAATTAATTCAGTGAGTTAACTTATGAGTTTATAAAAACATTTATGAAATGGCTATATAAAATATTATCATTGAGGAATCAATTTTTTTAATTTTAATTTTTATTATGGGTACACAATAGTTATACATATTTATGGGGAGATGTGATGTTTTGGTACAGGCATACAATGTGTAATGATTAAATTAGGATAATTGGAATATCCATCACCTCAAGCCTTTATCATTTCTTTGCATTAGGAACATTTCAATTCCACTCACATATTTCAACATATACAGTAAGTGTTGTTAACTGAAGTAACACTATTGTCCTAGAAATACTAGACCTTATTCTATTTAATTGTGTTTCTCTACTCATTAAACCATCTCCTCTTTATCCCCCACTTTGTACTACCCTTCCCAGCCTCTGGTAATGACCAAATTTCATAATTTGACACTATGTTTTTCTATGCATTTATCTTTAGATATTATCTTTTGTGAATATAAATATGACTGTAATTGTTGTTAGACATAGCTAACAAATTCCTGGGGCAATTTTTTTTCTTTGTCTGAGGCCACCAAATGAGTCATCCATTTACATACCGATAAAACTTCAGATTTTATTTTTCATAATTTTCTTACATTTATAATGAGTTAGACCAACAAGGATGGCACTTTTGGGATAACAGATGCCCCTATTCCATTTTATCATGTGATCTTTAATAATTGCATTGTTCTCCCAGTAAACAAAATAATCTCCCAAAACGTGTACATCTATTTTTTTTTCTCAGCACCCCAGAACCATAAGTCTGGAATCACTTGCAGTTATTTTAGCTCAATTATTGAGCCTTAGTATGGGGATCACTTATGATGACATTAACAAATGCCAGTGCTCAGGAGCTGTCTGCATTATGAATCCAGAAGCAATGTAAGATTTCTGACTTTTATACTTTACATATATAGTTTAATGTAATTTTAATGTATTTAGTTGAAGAAAGTTTAAGTTGTTAAATAATAATGGCGATCAGCTGTGACTGAGGACTCCAGGACCAAAATGTGTATTCCAATGCCCACGATGCATATTTATCTCAATATCACTTGTAATCAAATGTCACACTGGCTTTCTCACATGTGATCTAACACTACATTTATCAATATGTTTACTTGTATAATTTTACAATTTGATGCATAATTTGATAAGCCAAATGCAAGCTTGAGATCACTACACAAAAAGTATTTATTAGTATGAACTTGTCTGCATGAGTCTCCTTCAACTTGCCTTGGTTCAGCCTGAAGTCTCAGCATCTGTTGATTTCAGAGATGCTGCCATTCAGCTTTTTCTTTGTCATGAGAGAAAGTCGTTTGCAGTATTCTAATCAGGCCTCAACGATCTAGTGAATTTTTTTTGCTGATATCAACATTATTCTTATAGTACATTATGAATGTTTGTAGAAATACGATCAAATAGCCAGGGGATTTAAGGAAACCAGGCAGTAACTGGAGCCAGCCTTTTATCTTTCTGATGGATATTCTTGGAGGCATTCTTTGTTTCTCAGATGTGTTAGAGAATCAAGCCTCATTGCCTGCAGCAGGAAACATCTCACTGTCTCCATTCCCGCACTGCTGCTCCCTAAAATATTTGTGCTTAAGTTCTTGTCTCAGGCTCTGATTTTTGGGGTGGCAGGGATGGGGGACCTGTCCTAAAATAGTTACCCCAGAGTGGCTTTAGAAAACAAACCTTTATGAAAGGATTGTGGGCCTACATCAATACATGATCTGATAGCAACAAGGGCACCTCTGGCAAAAGATAATGTGAAAAGTGCACTGCAGCAGGTCCAGGCTGTGGTGCAAGACGGCTTGTCTTTGGTTCTTGTGATTATTTAAATACAATGTTACTAAGGATATTCCTGGTAGATTACATACATGTGGAATCTCTGGCAAGTATCAGTAGGAGATTTGCAGTGCAGACCTGTAGTTCTGCTATAGCTTCCAATGGGCTATTGGGCTCTTGCAGCCTTGAGCATGCATCTAGGAAATAGTAAGTTGCTATGTTATTGAAGTTTACTGTTTTCATCATAAAAGAGGTGTTTTAGAGCCACAAAAATATATGTATAAGATCAAGTGAGCATATCAATCTATCTGATGACCAAAATGGTAAATCTGGGAGCAAGCTAGAGAAGGTCCAGAGAGTACAAGTAAATAAGGGAATAGGGATCCCAGATCTTCATGTCACCTACATCTATTGCACCAATATTTCTCAGTCACCATACACTAATATCCTTGTAGGGATTTTCTAAAACTGGTTGATGGAGAAAAACAAACCTCAGTCCAATTTTAATATGTTAGTTGAAGTATTTTTTAAAAGTCAGTTTCATATAGAGTCCTATTAGATTTAGACCTAAAGACTGTGGGGATGGTAAATGTCCCCATGCCCCATGCACATATTTGTAAACAATATATCGGGTTTTCCACCTTGTATGAGAGAAGTGCCAGAGATTGGAATCTACACAGATTCCTATGCTGTGGCAAATAGCTTGGATACTTGGTGAACGATCTAGATGCTATAAAACTGGACATTTAAAGACAAGAAAGTGTAGGGAAGAAGTATGTGGATTTATTTAGAATGGGCACAACACATTCAGATGTTTATTTTCAAGTTCCACCAGAACAGCGTTTACTTCAAAAGAAGCACTCAAGGACCAGGTCTTTGACATCTATGAATGTCAACCAGCCTTTTTCCTAGGACACTCTAAAAAAAAGTCTTAAAATGAAATGTACGCACTCCTTCTCTAGGAGCAAACTTCAGCCACTTTAGTGAAACACCAGATTCCTGACCAACTAGGGAAAATTCTGTAAGATATTCTGTACATTTTCCTGTGGGCCCCGCAGAAAGAAGTCATTATTGCCATCTCAATAATACATGCTGATATCGACCTTTCCTCCCCCTCTCTTTCTTCATCCTTACACCCTTATTCCTGCTTCCTAGAATCACCACCCACATAAAATTCCTACAATCAAGTTCATGCTTTAGAGTATTTTCTCCTGGCCAATCTAAACAAAGACAGATGACATTTATATAGTTTGTATTAATAATGTTGAGCATTATTCATTAAACTTTTATTTATCTCAACCACAATATAGCTGTTTACAATGTTGATTATAATGATTACAATAGTTGTAATGGTAAAGAAAAGATAGGAAGGATAAGAAAATCACAAATATAAGAAGTTCTTTGGGCCCTCCACATCCTCTTGGATAATGTCAAAGTATTCTCTGTTCAATTTTGAAACAGGTAATTTTGTTAGGTTGCCTGATAAGTTATTCCCATCATGGTTGGGACCTGTTCCTTAGTTTTGTTTTTTATTTTTCCTTTGGAAATAGGTTTCTTATTGTTTTTCTAATTGCACCATGTTTATGAGACTATGAAATTTGCAATTGTTTGTGACAAGTATATAGAAATGGTATTGATTAATTTTTATTGAGCTTGTATCCTGCAGCTTTGCTACACTAACATATTCTATTCTGGAACTTCTAATTTAGTCTCATGAGAATTGTATTCACATGTAATTATATATTATAAATACATCTTCCTTTTTGATCTTTATATTTTTAAAACATCTATATCTTGCCTTATCGCAGTGCTTAGGGCCTCGAGTACTATTTAAAACAAAAGTTTGATGTGTGGCTGTCTTTGTTTCACTCTGATTTATGAGCAAGACTTGTAACTTTTCACCAATAAATACATTAACTGAAGGTTTTACAGAGAGACTTTTAATCAGATTGAGAAAGCTTTGTAACCCTCATTTATCAGAGTTTTCATTATGAATATATTTTATCAAATATTGAGATGCTCATGTGTTTCTTCTACTTTATTCTGTTGATACATTGAAATACATTTTATTCATGTTTAATTGTTTAAATAATCTTGCTTTTCTGGGATAAACTGCATCAAGGAATGAGGAATTATCCTTTTAATGTATTAATCCTTTTTGTAGCTGGATTTTTTCCCCTAATATTGGCAAAGTATATTTGCCTGTATATTAATGAGTGATACAGATCTTTAGTAGTAATTCTCTTGCAATTCCTTTGACTGGTTTTAGTATCACAGTTACACGGGCTTCATATAACTTTCTAAAAGAGATTTTGTACTATTGATACTATTTCTTTCTAAATTGTTTGATAGCATTTATCAGTGAAGCTGTCCGGAACTGGATAACTCTTTTTGGAAAGGTGTTTAATTGGTCATTTTTGAGATATTTAGATTTTGGTTATTTTTCCTTTTCTAATAAATATTTTGTTTCCTCAAAATTGATTAATTTTTCATAAAATCTTTTATAGCTTTCATTTATTTTCCCCTAAAAGTCAATGGGATAATTTGTGATATGCCCTCTTTTATCTCTGGTACTGATCATTTGAGTTTCTTTTTATAATCACTCTAACTTAGATTTTATCAAATTAATTAATTTTTTTAAAGAATCATATTTTAATTACATTGACTCTTTCCCATGGCCTATCTACTTTGTTTTCCTTTATTTCTACTTAGTTTGTGGTAAGTTTATTCATCTTTTTTCTAGATTTTTAATGTAAAAATTCAAATAACCTCCCTTCTTTTTGTGTAAACCCTTTAAAGCTGTGCATTTCTCTCTAATCACAAGTTCCTAGAACTTGACCTTCAATTACACACCACACGTTTTTGATACTTTGTGTTTCATTTCCAGTTAGTTGAAATATTTTCAATTTTTTGTGATTTCTTCTTTGTCTAGCTATTTTAGATGTAGGTTAGTTGATTTTCAAATATTTGTGGATTTCCTAAGTATCTTTTTGTTATCTGATTTAATATCTGCTGTGGTCCAAAAATATACTTTCTAGATGTCTATCTTTTGAATTTCATGAGACTTATTTAATAATTGTGTTTAGTTTTGTCTTTCTTTGTTTTTCATTTTTTCAAATTGATTCCTTCCATCATGTACAACAGAAAGTGAGAGAATGTGTTGAGGTGTTATTTTTCTGTTTTTAGTTAGTAATTAAGATGCCTGTAGTAATTCCTTCAAAATTATATTTAAATATAGGTTATATTAATATTCTTCCTAGCGAATCGTACTTTTTTTAAAATACAAAATATTAGACACATGTTTTGATGTTTTGATTATGGATTAAGGAAAAAGATGCTCCATTCTTTTATTTTGTGTTGTATTGTTACTAGAACATTTCATTCTTTTGCAAATACTTTGTAATTTTGTGGTGAGAAAATGAATGGTTGAAATGTGGTTGATAAAGAAATATCTTGATTGAGATCTATATTGGGATTAAGTCTGTATTTAGATTTTGCTGCAAGTTACAGAAAACACAAAGGAATAATGGCTACAATCAAAGAAAAGTTTATTTTGAGAAATTACCATTCTTTTAATTGTGTGATGTTTCACAGTATAATTTCACACTGTATTTCTACACAGTGGCTTCCATTCCCAAAATAATCTCATATCCCTAATGGAAGTTTTAATTACAACAATTAACCAAATTTAAAGTGACCAATTGGATAAAGGAGCTTACAAAAACATGTCTATCTCATTACCTCCTAGAACTTGAACTTATGGCTCATCTTAGGTCAATTATTTGACTTCTATATATGTTCACTCATTTATTAAAAACTGAGAAATTTAGACATTGTACAATGAAGTCATGCATTCAACTAACAACCAGAGGCTCCATTATAAAAAAAAAGTGAGAGAATAGAGAATGAAAGCATCCAGCAAATCTCCATGAAGATTCAAGCTGCAAAAAAGTACTCTAATCGGATGCAATTATGCTTGATATTTTACTTTCTTTTCTTTTTTTTTTTTTTTACCGTTCTCTCTCCCCTCTTTCTTTTTTTTTATTATACTTTTAAGTTCTAGGGTACATGTGCACAACGTGCGGTTTGTTACATATGTATACATGCACCATTTCGGTGTGCTGCACCCATTAACTGGTCATTTACATTAGGTATATCTCCTAATGCTATCCCTCCCGTATTTGACTTTCTAATGACAATGTTAATTTCATTACCAGAAAGTGTATACTCTATAAACCAGTTCACACATGGTAAATGTATCTTGCATTGCCTGGTTCTCAGTAATATTAAATTTCTATCAGTTTTTTTCTATATGGTTCCTTGTATTTAGATAGTAATCATTTGAATTCTTGGCAATTTATAATAAATTCATTATTTAAGGTTGATGGAACTGAAGGGGATGTTCAGCCAGGATGCAACCACACAAAAAGTCATACCAACACTGTTAGTTTTTTCAAAAATTCTAAATTTATTCGAGGTCTTCGAGTGAATAACATTTTCTTGTGATAATCCAAATGACTAGAGTTTGATACCATCAAGTTTATTACCTTAAAACTCATCACATTCCTATTAACAATGTCTTCCATCAAAATATAGGCCATCGTGATTATAATCTTTTTAAACATTGTTAATACTACTTAGAATAATCAAAATTATAACAAAATTAAACTTTATTATTTATAGTAAGTGGTTTCAATAGTGCACTCCTTTAAAAGAACTAGCAGAAGATAGTTAATGAATGATTAAATTAGTAACATTCCAGTTGTTGGTAAATATTCTGAAGTAAAACAAATGTCAGTAAGGGGAATAAAGGGTAGTAAGGAAGCGGTATTTTTAAAGTGTGCTTGGAAATATCCGTTTGCATAAATTTTGTATAGACATGTGAAATGAATGAAAGGGAACCATGCATGCATACTAAGGAATAGTTTTCCAGGCAGAGGAAATAGTAGACTATTTGATGGAGGGGACAGTAAGAGGTCCACCTATTTGAGCAGAGTGAGTTGAGGTTGATGAGGAGAATGACCTCGGAGGAGTTGGTGAATACATCGCACTGATTTTGCTCTGAATGATTGAGTAACTATAGGTGAATTTAAACATGGAAGTAATATGAAATTGCCACTTTTTTAGGAAACATAATTGATTGAGTTTTGAGGAAAAAAATGCAAAGGGCAAGAATCAAAGCATATGATGAGCTAGTAGGCTATTGCATTAATCTGTAGTGAAAGACCATAAAGTCTGTAAGTGGTTGTTGTGGAGAACACATATTGAATATATAGAAAGTAGACAGATTTGACAAAATTTCATGGCAGATAAGGGGTTTGTGAGAAATATAAGATAACCTCAAGGTTTCTGTCCTGAGCAACTAGGCAGTTGGAATTTCCCTGTAGTGAATTTGAAAATATTAGGAGTACAAACTATGGATAGGCACAGTTTTTAGTACTTTACATGTATGATACTCTCACAACTTTATGAGATAAATAAAACATTTATCTTCATATTGCAAGGAGGAAACTAAACTGCATATAATTTTAAAATCTTTTACAAGGACAAACAACCTGTAAATGGCAAAACCAAGACTTTAACTCATTTGTTTTGATTGGCCACAGAGTCCACATTCTGAAACACTGTGTTATACTTTGTGAGGGGTGTTTTTGGGGAGAAGAATCAAGAGTGTTGGGAATTTATATTTAAGGTGCCAATAAAATACACTTAAGAAGAAACACTGAATAAAGCATTAGACTCTGGACTTGAGTTCAGGTGATAACGCCAGAGAAACAAATATCGGAGCTATTGGGCATAGACGCTATTTGCAACTATAGACATGGATAAAATAACCTATGAATAAATATAGATTTCTTAAAAAAAGAAAAGCCTGGGCTGGGCGCGTTGGCTCACGCCTGTAATCCCAACACTTTGGGAGGCCTAGGTGGGCGAATCACGAGGTCAGGAGTTCTAGACCAGCCTGGCCAACATGGTGAAACCCCATCTCTACTAAAAAAAATACAAAAATTAGTAGGTCGTGGTGGCGTGTCCCTCTAATCCCAGTTACTTGGGAGGCTGAGGCAGAAGAATTGCTTGAACCGGGAGATGGACATTGCAGTGAGCAGAGATCATGCCATTGCACTCCAGCCTGGGTGACAGAGTGAGACTCCGTCTCAAAAAAAAAAAAAAGAAAAAAGAAAAAAAAGAAAAGCCTGTTTTCTTTATTAATACAGGGGTGTCCCAGCACTTAGAAGTTATAAAAAGAAAGAGCACAAATGAAACAGCATGGGGCACTTTGGAAAATAGGAGCTTAAACAAGAGAGAGCAGTGTCATGAATAAGTGTCATAGGAGAGCCAATAAAACTTTATGGATTAGTAATTTACTTCCACTAAAATATTTACATTCTTGCACAGTTGACTTCCCATGCACAGAGATTGAAAGCATTGACACTCACAGACTTGGGAATTTGGTCTGTTGTGGAATGCTGTTGTATAGGTTTATTCTAAGGGTAGGTAGTTTATGGAAACCCTTACATTAAAATTTGACGTTTGATGTGTCTTTAGTCATTTCAGTGGTGTGAAGATCTTTAGTAACTGCAGCTTCGAAGACTTTGCACATTTTATTTCAAAGCAGAAGTCCCAGTGTCTTCACAATCAGCCTCGCTTAGATCCTTTTTTCAAACAGCAAGCAGTGTGTGGTAATGCAAAGCTGGAAGCAGGAGAGGAGTGTGACTGTGGGACTGAACAGGTTGGTACTAATTCGGAAGACTACGCACTGAAATTGCAGCAAAAATTACTTATTAATTCGAGTGAGAAACTGCCATTTTCCTTAATTCATCAAGCTAAATTTTCTGCAAATGATTCAGGAGGGCATGTAGGTATTATAACAACTAATGAGTGCACTTATATATATTGGTGTAGTGCTTCAGTGCTTTGTGGATCTACGTGGATTTGTATGAATATACAGGTAATTTTCCTTTATTTATTCTAGCTTTCTTGAGGTATAGCTGACAATTTTAAATTGTATATATTTAAGTTATACAACTTGATGATTGAGTATATGAGTACATTTTGAAATATTTACTAAAATCTAGATAACTAACATACCTGTAATCTCACCATAGCATTTTATTTTTTCCTTTTCTTTTGCTTTTCAAAAATTTTCCTTTCTGACAAGAACACTAAGAATCTACCTTCTTAGCAAAGTTCAAGTATATGATACAATATTGTTAACTGTAGTCATGTTTGATCTCTAGAACGTATTCATCTTGCAGAACTGAAATTTTATACCCCTTGACCATCATCTCCCTATTTTCCCCTCCCTGAAGTCCCTGGTAAGCACCATTCTAATCTCTCATATAAGCAATTTTCAAGGCCACTAATTTCATAGCTGAGTTGATGTAGGTTCAATCTTTTCCTCTTGAGTATATACTTCCCTAGTTTTTAAGCCTAAAATTTAAAACTAGTATTTAACCTAAATTCCTTTGTTGTTCAGAAAGAGAGATATTTTAAAGCTTTCACTATGGAGCCAGAAAACCTAGGGAGTACATTTGTGGTTTTTGAATATTTTAATCCAGGTCGATATTTAAGTCAAAAAGATTTGTAACATACATAATTAAGAAGAGCTAGTTTTCTCAAACCACAGAAATCTTAGATAAAGCACCTGGGTTGAAGGGAGGTGAGGAGAGCAGAGATAAAGGGAATGAAATAAGGGAAAGGAGATATTGAAACTCATAGTGAATGGTACAGGCTCAAAAGGATCACAAAGACTAAGTAGACTTCATTGTGCCCTACAATGGTCACTCATGTAGCCTTCCAACCTTAAAAGTATGTTTATAGATCCTGAGATATGTGATATGTTTTTAAAAAATTGTTCCTCGTCACCCACTTGTTTTTGCTTGGTTGGGTTTGAATGGAAACATCTTGAAAATTTCTTCTTCAATTTGACAATCATGTATCTAAGCTCTCGAAATGTTATATAATTGAGGCTTAAACCACTGAGATATAACTTTCCCCTCTAGAATTACAGTAGATAGCAATGACAGTGACAATTCTTAGAATAGCTGTGAAAAATACTGACAACTCTGTGCTTCCAAGTATCTTGCTATAACTCATATGAAGACTACTAAACTCATGATTTATCTTTTTGTGATTTATCAAATTTCTTTTTCCAATTTACCCTATTTTAAATTTCTGGGTATTTAAAAAATGTGAGTGTGTGTGTGTGTGTGTGTGTGTGTGTGAATGCATTGTCTTTTAGCCTTCTTATCTATTGCTTTTACTAACTTTAGTAATAGAAGTTTTAAAAGCATATTCACTGGGCATAGATGAACTAAAGCATAAAACAAGGCATAATAAGATATGAGTGAATGATATAAAGGTGACAACTTCAGCATTCTCAGAAATAATATCATTTTCCAGACCTTAATTAGGGAGTTAAAAATGAAATAAATCAACAATATACCATAAAATGCAGAAACTTGTTAAAATATTATATTCAGAAGACTCTAATAAGAAGTAGTCACTGCAATATAATTTTTAAATTATAACTTCTGTTTATTTTACGTCTTGTATTTAACTATCTCTGTCTACAAGAGCCAGAGCTCTTCTCAGTGACTTGGCTATGGTGGACCCCAGGGCTTCAGAGAATCCTTTTATCAGTGTAACCAAACCTATTATAGCAATATGAGCAACACATGGTCTGGCAATTAGTAGGTAATTAATAAATGTCTGTTAAGTAAATGAATAAGTGGTTTTATTTTTCTGTTTGCCAACATGTAAGTTAAGCACCTATGTGTATGTTATATAATATGTTGTCTTTATGAACATGCCTGTCCAATATGAATACAAGTTGGAAAATACTTCAGAGCATTTGATTTGCCTTACAGGATTGTGCCCTTATTGGAGAAACATGCTGTGATATTGCCACATGTAGATTTAAAGCCGGTTCAAACTGTGCTGAAGGACCATGCTGCGAAAACTGTCTAGTAAGAGCTTTTTGAAAAATTTCAATATTACCTACATAAGTAGTTATCATTATTATGCTTATGTATTCTCATTCTGCTTAATTCAATATCATTTACCTCATCCCATCAGTTTATGTCAAAAGAAAGAATGTGTAGGCCTTCCTTTGAAGAATGCGACCTCCCTGAATATTGCAATGGATCATCTGCATCATGCCCAGAAAACCACTATGTTCAGACTGGGCATCCGTGTGGACTGAATCAATGGATCTGTATAGATGGAGTTTGTATGAGTGGGGATAAACAATGTACAGACACATTTGGCAAAGGTATTTATTATCATTTGATTTCTCATATATGCGTTTTTTTCTGGAAACTGAACAGAAATAGATGCTGATACATGATTGTGATTTTTAAAATGTCACATTTAGTTTAAATATTCTAAAGAATTATAGAAAGAGAAGAATACGGCCAGGCGCGGTGGCTCACGCATGTAATCCCAGCACTTTGGGAGGCCGAGGCGGGCAGATCACCCAAGATCAGGTGTTTGAGACCAGCCTGGCCAACATGACAAAAACCTGTCTCTACTAAAAATACAAAAATTAGCCGCAAGTGGTGGCACATGCCTGTAATCCCAGCTACTCAGGAGGCTGAGGTTCCAGTGAGCTGAGATCACGCCACTGCACTCCAGCCTGGGAGAAAGAGTGAGACTCCACCTCAAAAGAAAAAAAAAAAAAAGAGAATACTGTCAGAAAAAATATCAGTAGCTAGAAATTAAAAATTAATTTAATTAAAAGTGAAATCATTACATTATTAATTACTTTCATCAAAATAATAGAGGGAAAGATTCAAAGTCTATGGGACTTCTGAGTTCAAGAAGGAAGAAAGTAGAGAGAACACAAACTATACTTTTACTTCATATCCATCCCTTGTTTTGGTAAATATGGAATAAGTAATATGACTATAGACATTAAAGTAATTATAAGTTGTCATATAAATACAGTTCAAACCACATTTAATGCAGGCACACACATTCAGGTGCATAAAATCACCTGTGGAAACAATAAGGAAATTTCATGAAAATCCAGGGACTCTGAAGTTATTGAGGGATGATGTGCACTGACGTTAAAAACAAAAAAGAAAACCATGGTGCAAACTATATACAAAATTGTTTGCTAAATAATATGGAAACAGCAACAATGCCAACAGTATTTCATCCCCATATCGAAAAAATCAGGAACAATTGACAGAGGAAACATTTAGGATGTTCATAGAAACAGATAGGTGGTCACCTTTATTCTCAACTGGAACAAGTTGCAAGTCTAACTCTAATTTCTGTGTAAAAAGGGATTGCAAAGCACTTATCACTAACCAAAATGAACATAAAATTAGGAATGACTGTTGGTTTGAAGAAAAACAAAACAAAGATGCAAAGAAAGAAACTTACAAAATGAAAAAGTGTTGTCCTGGGAAAATGGGTAATTTGGTACCACAATGTGGATGATTTTCAGATTAAAGAAGGAAAATAGAGACAGAAAGAGACAGAAAGGCAGAAAGAAAGAAGAGGGAGCAAAAGACAAACTTTTTAATTACTGATTTAATTTCCTCAATCGTTGGTGTATTCCGATTTTCTACTTTTTTCATAATTTAATATTCGTAAGTTGGATGTGTCCAGGAATTTATCTATTTTTTCTGTTATCAAATTTGTTGGCATATAGTTGTTCTATTTATATATGTCTCTTATATTCTTCATATCATAAGGTATCATTGTAGTATCAGTGGTAATGTTTTCTGTTTCATTTCAGATTTTATTTATTTGAGTCTTCTCTTTCAATTATATGGACCCAGAGTGCTTCCTAAGGAGCACTCTACATCAGTATTATTTAGTGGCCACCAATAGTCTTTCCAATTTCCTTTAATGCCTTGGCTATATGTTTTCTACCCTATGCCAAAAGTATCTCTATGAGAAGACAGATTCAAACTTCAAGCAGTTTATAAGACAGCCTTAGCTTTCACTTCCTGCTTGTTCAGGACCTAAACATCATAGAGTAAGGAGTGACTAGAAAACTCTCTGTTCTCAGAACTATTCTAGGTATGTGTGCAGCTATTTATTTATTTATTTATTTATTTATTTATTTATTTATTTATTTTTTGGAGCCGGAGTCTTGCTCTGTCGCTCAGGCTGGAGTGCAGTGGTGTGATCTTGGCTTACTGCAACCTTCACCTCCCGTGTTCCAGTGATTCTCCTGCCTCAGCCTCCTAGCCTCCTGAGTAGCTGTGATTAGATGCACACACCACCACACCCGGCTAATTTTTGTATTTTTTAATAGAGATAGGGTTTTGCCATGTTGGCCAGGCTGGTCTCGAACTCCTGACCACAGGTGATCTGCCTGCCTGGGCCTCCCGAAGTGCTGGGATTACTCGCTTGAGCCACTGCGCCTGGCCTGTGTGCAGCATTTTAGATCCAGTTACATTGTTACCAAGCAATGAGTTCACTTCCGGATGTGCATAGAGGCCAACACTAATAGCACCAGCTTCCAAGAAAAGAGAAAGCTTTATTGTGAGGTCCACCAGCAAGGAGACAAAAGGCAATGCTCAAATCTGTTTCCTTAAGCTGGCGTCTGGGGGCAGGTTATATAGGCAGATGGTAACTATGAGAGAGATGAGAAAGGCTCTGATTTGGTCATGCAAAGAGGCGGTGCCAGGTCCTCAGCTTTTAAGTTTTTACTGCAATAAAACAGGACTCCCCTCCCTTCTTTTTTGAGGGGAAGAGGGCAGTGAGGGTCTTGCCCAAACTGTAGTACAGTGATGCAATCACAGCTCACTGCAGCCTCCAACTCCCAAGGTCAAGTGATCTTTTTGCCTCAGCCTCCCAAGTAGCAGGGACTACAGATGCATGTCACCATGCCCACTATTTTTTCTTTTTCTTTTTTTGTAGAGGTGAGGTCTTGCTGTGTTGCCCAAGTTGGTCTCAAACTTCTGGTCTCAAGTAATCCTCCTGCCTTGGCATCCCAAAGTGCTGGAATTAAAGAAGTGAGCCACTGCATCTGACCCTTTGCTTCTTAATTTGTTCCATGCTCCTAGATTTGAATATTTCAAACTGAGTACTTCAGTTCCAGCCTGCTCAGGTTCAGACTATTTGATTGGCAACCTGGGGGTCGATGGCAACTGAAAAACAGCTAATCATTTTGTGACTGATAAATCTGACCCAGAGTGAACAATAGGTTTGAGCTATTCTGTTTCACATAGTCATCTAACTCTCCAGGAATTCCTTTAAAATTTCCAGTGAGCTCTTGTTTGCCTCAACTGAAATCACAGCCTTAGGCACTGGTGATGTTGGTAGCAGATTTATATTATTTCAGTAATGCCTTTGTTGTCAGTGAACCGGTTCAGATTCTTTACTTCACTGCCGAAAAGAATTTGAGAGCAAGTCCAAAGGGAAAGTAAATAAAGAAGTTCATTGCAAAGCAAAGTACGCTCTGATAGCAGGCTGCACAAGAATAAGAGCGTCGGTTGGCATTGAGGAAACTCCCTTTATTGGAGCCTAACATGATTATTCATAAAAGGGTGGGAGTGGGCATTGTTGTTTAGCATGTTGTAGGTGGTCTCCTGAATGCACATGTGCTATTGCTGTACATGCCAGTACATGCATCACATTTCTCATTAGCATTTTAATTCTCCACCCAAGGGTGCCTTTTTTACTATTATAATGAACATAGGTCACTCCAAGGACACAAATCATGGGTTTCTGCACTTGAACCAATTTGGGTGTTTTCCCTTATGTTTCTTTACCTCCTTGCTGCAGGATGTTCTAACCAGTATCCCAGGATGCAGTTTTTGCACTGTTGGGAGGTTTATTCTCGCCATCTATTTTGCAAGTTTGTTCTCATTTAAGGGATGCTATGACCAACCTATCTAATTTACCTCACTCTGAAAGCCAAGATTTTTTTTATTCATTTTTTTTTTCACTTAACTGAGCTCTAAATCAAATCAAGTAGCCCTAGCCACCTGGTAACAGAGATTTTTCCAGGGAATGGAAAGTTTAGATAAAATATTTAGATAAATTATTGGCTGCCTCTGGGCATAGCGCTTTCACAGAGCTCCAACGGAGATGTGACCTCTTCATTAGCTGTAAGCCTGCTGGCTTTCATCTGTCATGAGACACTGAGAACAAATGAGAATATGCCCAAGTTAAAACATCACCGACCCCTTTGTTTATCAATTCTATCAACCAGAACTACACCAGAGAAACAAAATCCATTGGATATGTAATTCTGCACTCTCTCTTCCTCTCTGTAGATAGATAGATATAGGTATATAGATATTTTATTGTATATAAAATTTTGTGTATATATCTATGCAAATAATTGGCTGATCAGATTGTGGGGCTGGCTAGGCAAGCCTGAAATCTGTAGGGCAAGACAATTAAAAGGGCAGAATAGAAATTTTAAGCATAAATTGAAGTCCACAGGCAGAATTTTTTTCTTTTTCAGGGAAGCCTGCTGTAAAGGTCTTTCAACTATTAATAATTGAATCAGGCCCATCCACATTATCTAGGATAATATTTCTTAAGTAAAATAAACTTATTGTAGACTTCATTACACCTACAAAATACCTACAGAGCAATGCCTAGATTAGTGTTTAATTGAATAACTTGAGACTATAGCCTAACCAAGTTGATACATAAAATGTATCATCACACCGTCTTTCAGTAGTTTCTCTTGGATGCCTAAAATTCATTTTGATCTGTAGATTGCGGCTTTCTTTGTTTTGGCCTATTTTTTGTCTACCAGCAATGGCTTGCTACCATAGCCAAGGTTAAAATTTTGACTTCTTACCCATAACCAGCCTTGCAAATGACCTCTGGGACAAAATGAACTTTTACTTTTCAGTTCACTACATCATCTGTGGGTCGCAGCTGAGATCTGAGTCTGTCCACTCTGTTATTGAGCATTCATGCTGCAGCAACATTATGTAGTGGTTAAGTCTCCCTGTCAAAGATTTTTGACCGAGTCCATCAAGTAGAGCAGTTGGAGGTTATGAGAAATAAACTGCTTTTTAAGTAGGTTGAAGCTTTTTTTTCTTTTTCCTTTGAGACGCAGTCTCGCTCTGTCGCCCAGGCTGGAGTGCAATGGCGCGATCTCGGCTCACTGCAGGCTCTGCCTCCAGGGTTCACGCCATTCTCCTGCCTCAGCCTCCCAAGTAGCTGGGACTACGGGCGCCTGCCACCATGCCCGGCTAATTTTCTTTTGTAGTTTTAGTAGAGACGGGGTTTCACTGTGTTAGACAGGCTGGTCTCGATCTCCTTAACTCGTGATCCGCCCGCCTCGGCCTCCCAAAGTCCTGGGGTTACAGGCATGAACCACCGCGCCCGGCCATGTAGGTTGGATCTTATGAGAATTAAAATTATACAGATTATGCATGTGGATTGGATGATGGGAGGGTGAATGAATCAATTGTGACTCCAATATATTTCTTGTCTAAGGAAATTATGATGTAAAACAAGATAATTGGTTAGTTGTTTGACTTGAAAAGACATTCATGCTAAAACTGTTTATTTGACAAATAAGTCAATTATGTGAAAAAAGTTTCCTACGTACTAATAGATATGCATTTATAGACTTACTATGATTAGAGGTTAAACAATACAGTGGCTAACTCTGGAGTATGTCTAGGATATGTCTTTGAATAGTAGACCAGAGTCCTTTCAATTTTTAAACATTTCATTGAAGTAGTTTTGTGTGATCTTAAATCTAGTTTTTATTTTGAATGTTATAGTATGATCTTATTTTGTACAATGAATATCTTAAACCCTTTCAGAATTTTAAGTGTATTTGTTATTTATTTTTAATTAATATAAGTTTAATATGACTAACCTCACCTTTTTATTTTCAGAAGTAGAGTTTGGCCCTTCAGAATGTTATTCTCACCTTAATTCAAAGACTGATGTATCTGGAAACTGTGGTATAAGTGATTCAGGATACACACAGTGTGAAGCTGAGTATGTTTTCAGAAATCTGTCTTAGAACTTCTATTTATCACCTTATATTTGAAAATACCATCAAACAATTAAGTTTATGTAAGCAAAATATCCCCTGAACATAAAGTAAGACCATGTTTATTCAAATTATAAATATCATAGACACATTTCTCCTCTCCTATAACCAAATTATCCCTTGTACTTTTCCACAAAGTGTTTAGTTTTCATACAGGTACATTAATTACCCATCAGTAATCATTTTTATTGTGCATGCTATTACTTTAATTTTTTTTTTTTTTTTTTTTTTTTTTTTTGAGATGGAGTCTCACTCTGTTGCCTAGGCTGGAATGCAGTGGTGCTATTACTTTAATTTTTACAAAGCATGACAATCCTCATAGTAAAGAAGTTAAAATACACGAATTTTTACTGCTTAAGGAGCAAAATGTGTTTTTTTTTTATTTTTTTATTTTATTTTTTTGAAGGAGTCTCACTCTCTCCCCCAGGCTGGAGTGCCGTGGCACTATCTCGGCTCACTGCAAGTTCCGCCTCCCGGGTTCACGCCATTCTCCTGCCTCAGCCTCCCGAGTAGCTGCGACTGCAGGCGCCTGCCACCACGCCCGTCTAATTTTTTGTGTTTTCAGTAGAGACGGGGTTTCACCGTGTTAGCCAGGATGGTCTTGATCTCCTGACCTCGTGATCCACCTGCCTCGGCCTCCCAAAATGCTGGGATTATAGGCGTGAGCCACCGCGCCTGGCCAAAGCGTGGTATTTAAGAACATGTGCTCTACAGCCAGACATTTTGATTTTAAATCCTAATCCCACTCTTTACCTATTTGTGTGACCTCAGGCACGTATTTCAGTTTTTTTTAATATGTAATATATGAATATTAATAACGCATCACCAGTTTGGTGCCAGTGGGAAACATAGACGCTGTATGAAAAACACTTAGAATGGTGACTGATACATAGTATGTACTATATGAGTGCTAACTATTATCTGTTACTATTATTTTGTAAATTAGAACTAGAAGACCGGGCGGGGTAGCTCATACCTGTAATCCCAGCACTTTGGGAGGCTGAGGCGGGCAGATCACCTGAGGTTAGGAGTTAGAGACCAGCCTGGCCAACCTGGTGAATCCCCGTCTCTACTAAAAATTCAAAAATTAGCCAGGCATGATGGCGGTTGCCTGTAATCCCAGCTACTCGAGAGGCTGAGGCAGGAGAATCGCTTGAACCTGGGAGGCAGAGGTTGCAGTGAGCCGAGATCGCGCCACTGCAGTCCAGCCTGGGCGACAGAGCGAGACTCCACCTCAAAAATAAAAAATAAATAAATAAATTAGAACTAGAATGTTACTGATACCCATTCCTTTGCTGTAAAATTTTATGTTGATATTATTTCAAAAGTAAAGTAAAACTTCTGTAATAAACTTTATAGTTTTCGTGAATAGTGCAAGGAATTCCCATATACCCTTTGCCTAGGTTTACAGGTTGTTTACATTTTTCCTGTTGCTTTACCCTTCTGTTGTTCCAACTCTTCTCTCCTCTCCTCTCTTCATAATTATTTTTCTGAAAGGTTTGAGTGTAAGTTGAAAACTGTGCTTGTTTATTCCTCAATATATCCATGTGTTTATCTTGAAAATAAAGATATTTTCTTACATAACTTATTGTAGCTATCAAACATAGTTCATATTGAAATTTCATTCATTGTTTTGAGTAATTTTAGGCTATTTTCCTTGTTCAGGAACAAACCCAGTGTCAGATATTTACATTTACTCCTAATGTATTTTTAGAGTTCTTTAATTTGGAACATTTTTGTTTTTATTTGTGTTTCTTTTTATTAGTTTTTTTTAATACTATCGGTTAACTAATTTGTAGAATTTTCCCACAATTTAGGTTTCTTTGAAATTTTTCATAATTATGTGTAAGTGATACATTTTGGCATGTTTATCACTGAAGTGATGTTGTTGTACCCTGGATTTTTTTAAAGGTACATGCCATTTTCTTTCAGTATTGGACATTTTAGGTTAAATGTTTTGATAAAGTCATTATTCTCTAAATCTTTCAACTGTGAAATTACTATTTTCCTTTTGGGTTTAATATGTAATTTTGGAGGAGTTATATTGAGACCCTGGGCATATTCTGTTTCTCCTCAAACTTTAACTAACTAGTTTTAAAATCCATTAGTGATTTTCTAACTGTATTATTGACTTTGCCTTTATTATCTAGAAATGTACTGTAGGAAGAAGTAGTCACTTCTATATTTTTATTTACTTATCTATATATATATCAGTTTAGACACAATAATTGTTATTTTATTTAATAGGATAAAATACATTACTATCATTATTTTGATACTTTCTCAAATTCTCTTAATTTTGACTATTGGGAATCCCTTTGAGCTGGTTAATGTGTCCTTTTCAAAAGTCTGTAGGACTTTTTAATAACTTCCAAATTTTTCTAGCACAAGAAAAGATGTTGTAGGTTGCATTGAGCTTCTTCTACTTCTGCTCTGGATTCAGCTATTCATCCAAGGAGCCTTGGTTCCTTTTCTTAGAAGATGGTATTTGAAAATAAATACCTAAGCACCAGCTGTGTGCATGTCTACTATTTCTTTTTTTTTTAAATTTTTTTTATTTTTACTGACTTTTTATTTTTTAATGTTTTTATTTGGAAACAATTTCAGACATATAAAAGTTAGAATAATAGTGCAAATAATTCCTGTATACCCTTCAAATTTTCCAAATTTTAGCATTTTAACACATTTGGCTTATCATTTTCTATCTCTTTGTCTCTGTCTCTGTCTCTCTCTTTCATTACATATAATATACACACAAATATACAAATACACACATTATAAACACATACAGTTTTGTAACTATATGTATATATTGCTTTATAATTGCTTTTCTGAAATATTTGAGAGTAAATTTCAGATATGGTGGCCCTTTATTTCTTTTTTTTTCTTCTCATTACCTCTCAAGCCTGTCAGTCAATGGAGCTAGAACATGCATTTCATATATGCACATACATGTATCACATATTCATTCATGTAAATCTCTGAATTTAAGACATGAACTTAGTGATAATTCTAATTCCAATTAAGTGCCATAAAGTACATTTTAGTATACAAGTTGCTTCCTCATATACTCAAGTTCCAAATGCACAGAAATTTGCTTTATAATTGCTAAAGCATATACTTACTGAAAGAAAATTCTAGCTATTATGACTATATTTTCCTTTTCATCATTGATCCTTTTTATATAAGCTGCATTAAAGGGCTTCTCTGCTGAATGAAATGTCTGTGTAGTATTGGTGTTGGTATCTAGTAATTTATTTGCCCTCTATGTTATATTTTACTTTTTCTATGTGTGTTTAGCATATTTCTTAACTTTGTATCATATAATATGACTAATACATAACGGAAATTGCATTCACTTTTGCTTTTCTGAAGGCTAGAATTTTGTAATGGAAAGGATTTAACATAGCTGGACTCAAACTATAAAGCAAACCTGTCTCTGAGCAGGAGCTGAAAACATTGTTCATTTCGTTATGCCTCTGGGAGATGCTTTTTATGTGCTCCCTGGATTCTTCACCACACAAGCTTAATTAGTTCAGTAGTCATCCAGGTTTCAGGCTGAATATAAACCTGAAATTTATATTCAGATTTCAGTTCTCAGTCTAAGTTTCCAGTCAACTAACTGACATTAGACCCGTATTTTAATAATGTCCTGGGATTATTCAAGCTAAGAATCTTCAACCTTGGATGTGCTTTCATAAATTATTAAACAAAGCCACATCTACAGAATATCTGGTGCTGCAGTTCCCATTCTTAAAGCTCAGTTATATAGTCCTTTCCTTTCTGGTTACATTCCGGTGTCTTCAAAGTGTGAGCATGTGTGTTTCAGATTACAGTTCTACCTTACTACAATGCCTTCCAGCCAAAGACCACCAAGAAGGCAGCCGTAGTTGAGCAAGTTGGGTTTTTTTACATGTTGAGTGGTGAGAAATCGCATCATGAGAAATTGTGGAGTATGCCAGTTCTAGAGATTTGGACTTGGGTTAGGTGATTTTAGGAAGGTTTCAGGAAATAGACCTTTGCTGTAAATTAGATGTTTTAAAGTAGAGATATTAATAATTGTATGATTGTATATCTTAATCTTATATATGAAGAGGGAAGACTAAAGTGAAGCTAAAGTTGTAATTGCTAAAGAAGCAATAGTCACACATATTAGTTGAATCCTGGGAATGTCCAGTAACTGTGGCTTGGACAATGTTTGTTTCTCCTCTGTGTTCATACATGATCTATGAAGTGAGCTTGCTTATTTTCTTAATCTTTCATGATCACAGAATGGCTTTGCCTAAGGTTGATGTTCTATGAAATTACTTAATGTTTAACTGGTGTGTGCACTATGAGTGCAGAACAGCTTTTATCAACTCCAAGTCCTTCCTCGATGACTCCTGGCCACTTCAGGGGCTGGGTTGCCCATTTTCGTTGTCTTCTTTTGGCCAAAGGGAGAAAAGTTCAGGCCATAGAAAATTGCTTGAAGACATTTAGATTTTCATCACTGCTGAGATTTTGCTGATTAGGAGGCTATTTAGATAACATATGTTGTCTATCTCAACATATGCAGTTGATCTAGGGTTAGTCTCTCTGCCTCCATGGTTTCCTGAATCTTCTGATGTAGCAATGGTCATGTGGTAGCATTTAAGATTCCAAACAGGATGCAAGGGCCAAATAAAAATCTTATGGTTTGTAGCATGTACTGTAGGCAAATGCTCACATTAATCTGTAGGACATACTACCTATGTGATATATATAGTGATAACCCTGTAGTATTAATTAATGGTTATTTTTGTTAATTAATATGAGTGACCTTGAAATCTTCATTTTTAAAATCACTGAAAAGGTGAACAGATGTTAAATTCATTTGAGCTTGGGTTTGATTTTGTTTCAGATTCAAAGGAAAGTGAAGGAATCACAAAAAAAGTTGTCAGGCTAACTAGGGAATATTAGGTTGGTGCAAAAGTGATTGCGGCTTTTGCCATTAAAAAAGTGGCAAAAACCACTATTAGTTTTGCACCAACCTTAGTTCATAATTAATTACTAAAATGTTCAGTTATTATTGGCAATTTAGGCAAGGCTCTTTTTTTGGTGTTTTAAAACGAATTGCATGTATTAGCTTGCAAACCTTGAATACTTTATTTAAATCTATCTATTTTAAAAATTATATTCTTGTACTTCTCTAAATTAAAATTAATAATTTTTATTTGTGGATAAATTATAGCAATCTGCAGTGCGGAAAATTAATATGTAAATATGTAGGTAAATTTTTATTACAAATTCCAAGAGCCACTATTATTTATGCCAACATAAGTGGACATCTCTGCATTGCTGTGGAATTTGCCAGTGATCATGCAGACAGCCAAAAGATGTGGATAAAAGATGGAACTTCTTGTGGTTCAAATAAGGTAGGTAGTCTTTTATTCCCAAATAATTTCCTAATATTTTAGACTTTGCCCTTTTTTGAGATGAGTGTCACTCTTGCCCTGGCTAGAGTGCAGTGGTGTGATCTCTGCTCACTGCAACCTCTGCCACCCAGGTTCAAGTGATTCTCCTGCCTCAGCCTCTTGAGTAGCTGGGATTACAGGTGGTACCACCACACCCGGCTAATTTTTGTATTTTTAGTAGAGACGGAGTTTCACAGTGTTGGCCAGGCTGATCTCAAACTCCTGACCTCGGGTGATCCACCCACCTCAGCCTCCTGAAGTGCTGGGATTACAGGCGTGAGCCACTGCACCTGGCCTAGACTCTGTTCTTAAATGATACATAATTAGTATTTTTTCTCAGAATTTAAGTGCATATTCAATACAGAAAATCAGGAAAAAACAAACTTTAAAAGAATAAAATATTTGCAATCATGCATATATGACATTGCTATGACTATTTCGCTGGTTATTTAGTAACTTTTTCATTGAAATTATGTGTATTCACTGAATTGAGAACTGCGTTGTTCATTTACTGTATTTTATTAAATATCTCATATCACACAGAGAATACATCTAATGTCATAAATTATCTTTTGATATAATCATTTTAAAATAGCCATTAAAATAATATATGCCCATTTTACTGATGAAAATAATAAACAAACTCACAGAATAAAGAAAAAAATCAATCCAGTCGCATATCTGAGATGTAATAACTTAATTTTTATGAACCTTCCATCAATTTTTCATAGACATGCACACACACATGGAGTTGTAGAATATTTATCTGTCTACATAACTATCTTTCTTACTTTGCATTCAATATGGTACCTATGCATACATATCAACAGTTTTTGCCTTCCTAGATTTTTTTATTATATGAAATATGAAATACATACAAACACGTATATACACAAGGAGGTGCAAGCTCAAATTAGTCTCATGTTTAAATTATAAAGCCTCTCTGGCTTAATAAGTAACAGAATACAGTAAGCCCCTTATTGAAGAAAAGAGGGAAAGGAAAACTATGCTAACTTTACTAATATTCATTTAGAAAATTAGTAAGTAAGAGTGTATACAAATAAAAAAACTGTCATTCAAATTCTCACACAAAATGTAAGTCATTTAAAAAATTGTGCAACACATTTGCTTTTATTAAATTTACTTTGAAAATGTCTTACCAAATTAATGCCCAAGACTATCTTACATTTTAAATTCTCCATTGTTTCTAAATAGGCTAAAATACGTTATGTGAGGTAGGAATTGCACAGGAAATGGGAACCACCAAGAGTGGCTTAAATCGTTGGTAGTTATTTTTTTCCCATAATACAAAGTAATTTTGGAGGTTGTCCATCCAGAGCAGTTATTGGGTGCCATTATGTCATCAATGATCCAGACTCAGTCCAGTTTTTAGCTATAGATCTTGTTTGTGATCCTCCTTTACATGGCCTTCAAAAGGGTTGATTGGAACTCTGGTTATATCCACAGTTAGTGAATGGGATGAAGGATATATGACAGGCAGTACCCTGCCACAGTGTTCATGACAAAAGTGATGTCCCATCAAGTAGCCATCTAAGAACACTAGGACGAGGATGGGATGAGTTGGAAAAATAATACATTTTAAATCAACCATGTATTTGAGAAACTAAAAAACCACACACAGGCTTAGGAAAGATGCATGCTCAGAAAGGACCTGGGATGATCATAAGCTTTATATTCAGGTTGACCCCAACATTAAGATAATACTAAATTAATTAGTAAAGAACTTTCACAGAATAGAGCCATTCTACAAACACTGGGCAAGTTGGCAGGTTTTTAAATTGCCCCATTTTCATGCTATTTCTTGCCTGAATACCTTGTTTTGTGTGTGTGTGTGTGAGTGTGTGTGTGTGTGTGTTTTGTTGTTTTATAGGTCCTGTGAAATTTATGCTTTAAGGAGGTAATGGATTTACTATTCCGGTGGATTTACTATTACTTGCACCCTCTAAAGCTGTGGGCTGTGCTGTACCTTGGACCCTTTTAGCCATAGCTAGAGTGGCTGGGATGCAGGGTGCCAAGTCCTGAGGCAGTATAGAGCAGGGGGACCCTGGGCCCTGCCCAGGAAACCATTTTTCCCTCCTAGGCCTCTGTGTCTGTGATGGGAAGGGCTACCATGAAAGTCTCTGATATGCCTTGGAGACATTTTCCCCACTGTCTTGATGACTAACATTTGACTCCTCATTACTTATGCAAATTTCTGCAGCAGACTTAAATTTTTCCCCAGAACATGGGTTTTTTTTTTTTCTATTGCATCATCAGGCTGCAAATTTTTCCAACTTTTATGCTTTGCTTCCTCTTGAATGCTTTGCTGCTTAGAAATTTCTTCTGCCAGGTAGCCTAAATCATCTCTCAAGTTCAGAGTTCCACAGATTTCTAGGGCAGGGGCAAAATGCTGCCACTCTTCTTGCTAAAACATAACAAGAGTCACCTTTTCTCCAGTTCCTAAGAAGTTCCTCATTTCCATCTGAGACCATCTAAGCCTGGACTTCATTGTTCATATCACTAAGCGCATTTTGATCAAAGCCATTCAACAAGTCTCTAGGAACTTCCAAACTTTCCCACATTTTCCCGTCTTCTTCTTAGCCCTCCAAATGATTCCAATCTCTGGCTGTTACCCAGTTCCAAAATCGCTTCCACATTTTTTAGTATTTTCACAGCAGCACTCCATTCCTGGTACCGATTTTACTGTATTAGTCTGTTCTCATGCTGTTAATCAAGACATGCCTGAAACTGGGTAATTTATATAGAAAACAAGATTTAATGGACTCACAGTTCCGCGTGGCTGGGGAGGCCTCACAATCATGGCAGAAGGCAAAGGAGGAACAAAGGCATGTCTTACGTGGAGGCAGGCAAGAGAGTGTGTGCAGGGGAACTGCCCTTTATAAAACCATGAGATCTCATGAGACTTACTCACTATCAGGAGACCAGCATGGGAAAAACCTGCCGCCATAATTCAATTACCTCCCACCAGGTCTCTCCCATGACACTGTCGTTATTGTGGGAGCTACAATTACATCTCCACCGTAATCTTTTGCCCCAGGTGTCTGCAAATGTTACTCTCCCTGCACCTTTCCCTAGCAGTCTATACTGCTTCTTTCCATCTGAGATTTGAGTTAGGCAAATCAGAAACCAGTCCTTAAGGCAGCTACCAGACAAGTTAGAGTATTGCCAATAAAATCTGTGCTGCATCCTTCAGTTTGAGGGAAGGGATTGAGAATTTAGCTGCTGCCTCATTCAGACAAAAATGCCATAAAATTTTCTACCATTTTGACTGTGACAATGTGTTCTTCAGTATTTTACTGGTTGCTGTAGACCTTTGACTGTTGCCAGAGCTCCTATAATGTTATTTCAGCCAGATTTTGTTTTGTTTTCTATATCACCGTTTTTCTGATGTACCTCCCCAGACTATTTATTGAAAGTTTGATATAACCTGCTTCTAATTCTGCCACTGTTGTAGGGGGTGCAAATGATCATTTAAATCCAAAATGCTTGGTCATTGGTGGCCACTGGAGGAGTGCTGCCTTCAGTTTTGGTTGCTTTTGTAAAATCACACTGTTTCACATTTTCTGAACCTAAAAATGATTTTTATCTCTGGTACAACTATGCCTTTAAAAAAAGAGTATGAGCCTGGCCAACATGGTGAAGCCCCGTCTCTACTGAAAATACAAAAATTAAGTGGGCGTGGTGGCACAAGCCTGTAATCCCAGTTACTTGAGAGGCTGAGGCACGAGAATTGCTTGAACCCAGGAAGCATAGGCTGCAGTGAGCTGAGACCAAGCCACTGCACTCCAGCCTGGGCAACAGAGTGAGACCCTATCTCAAAAAAAAAAAGAGTATGTACAGATTTTATTTCATTTAGCATTTTAGTTCCTACATAACAAGAAGGTTTCTGTAGGAACCTATTCCGCCTAGTGATAATAAAGGAGGCTGCATTATGATTCTTATCTCAAAACAAAAATAAATCTGTTTTAGAGAGTTTGGTGAAGAATAAAAAAGAATTGTTTTTTTTATGTAATATTACTATTGCTATATGGTTATAAATAATTTTTAATTTTTTTAGCTAGCTTCTTTATTTGGATGCTGCTTTTCCCTAGCAAAGCTTCCTGCATGATACAACTGAAGTTAAGCACTCTGCCACAGGCATGTTAAAGCAAAAACAAACAAACAAACAAAACCCAGACAAAAACAAAAACAAACAAAAAAACCCACAAAAACACTTCATTGCAGAAAAAGGGTACCAGTAATACCAACAACCCTTCCTCAACTTTTGTTTCTCTAGACAATTAATATATTTAATGGTTCTGAAAATTAGGTTTACTTTTTTCTGGACAATAGCTCTGCAAATTATATATCTAACTACTGTATTTAAATTGTAGTTAAGTGTGAAGGAAGCATGCTAACAGAATAGATAGATTTATAACTACAGCAGCACTAATCTGTATCCAGTATCCAGAGCTAGTACTTTTTATACTACTACCACAGCCATCCAAAATAACCTGGCCATCTATTCATCATTAGTCCATTTCCCCATAAATCTTAAATGGAGGTATGCATTGCCGTAATTAGCCAACACAATTAATAATGTATTTTTTCATACTCAATAATGTTGGGCAAAAACTATGTGAACAGATTAACTCTCTGACTTTAAAAGTTAGTGTGTTATGATCCTATATTATAAGAGGAAAAATCTCCCAAAATATTGCCAATATTCTTTAGCAAACTTTTAAAATAAAAAATATTTCTAATTACATGTTCTTGGGCTTACCATTAGTCGCTTTGAGTATTTGTATGAGTGCATTAAACATTTCTTGTTCTTTTGAAACATAGCATTATTTGATATAGGTTGAAAGAGATCTCTGAAAACAATTACTAAACCTTTGTCTTTATGCTTAACTTTCTTTATCTCAGTTGATTTAACTACCAGCAAGAGAATTAAACAAGTCAGAATCCTTGGTGTCATTCACCCATCTCTTTTTACTATGCATATTACTCCAACTCAGCTGGTTTCAACTTTCTATCTCAAATACATCTACTGGTTTCTATCCTCACTACCACTCAATTTCATTGTATGCTTATCATTTTTGTGGACCACAGCAATGACATTCTAACTTTGTATCTATAGGCTATTGCCCTTTCCATTCTCTTTTCCAAAACCTACTTTTATCAGCTTTCCTTCTTCCAATATGTAAATATAGCAAATTGCTATATTTGACCAACTTGCTCATGAAGAATATAAGATTCTACACAATCATGCCAATAATATCTTCTTTCATATAATATCGAGTTTTTTGTCTGTTTCTCTCTCTTTTGTTATGGTATGAACAAGATGAGATTTGTGTTGTTCACTGATGCCTTCTTGGGGCCAGGTACATTTGTAGGACTCAAATATTTATTTAATGAATGACTGAATGGCCACACTGCCCTTTAGATTTCTCAAAGGTTCAATACGGTCTTCCATGGTAGAATCATTTTAAATATTACTTCTTTTTTTATAATACTCTGTCTTTTATTTCTATACTAATTAAGTCCTATCTATCATCAGGGCTCAATGAGAAGGTTTTAACTGTTCTCAAATATTTGACACATTTCCTGTATTTTACGCTTCACAAATCAATTTTTTCATTACAGCATTTATTACGTACTTATTTGTGTTTTACTCATTTCATATTTGTCCCTGCTATCCCAGTCTAAGCAGGGAAGAAGCTGTTATTGTTTTGTTTACTCCTAGATAATCAGAGTCTCATCTAGTGCTGGAAACATAGTAGCTCAATACATTAACTATTCATTGTTAGTATACTAATTCTTGTTGCTAAATCAATACCCTTTTTATTAGTCCATGGTAATATGGTATGGTATGGAATGCTTTTAATTAAATGGCAACTCTAGATGGCATGTCAATTAACTTATTTTTGCTCATCCTTTTTAGGTTTGCAGGAATCAAAGATGTGTGAGTTCTTCATACTTGGGTTATGATTGTACTACTGACAAATGCAATGATAGAGGTGTAAGTAGCAGTACTATGAGGTGAAAATAGAAATCATTGAGCCTAATTTTAGGAAACTGCATTGCTACACACACACACACGCACACACACACACACACACACCAAAACATATAGGAAAATTGGCCTTAGCTGACCTACATATTATTTTATAATTCTACTTGAACATATATAAATCTAGTTGCTTATCTTATAAGGTGATATTTCTCCTTCTTTTAGGTATGCAATAACAAAAAGCACTGTCACTGTAGTGCTTCATATTTACCTCCAGATTGCTCAGTTCAATCAGATCTATGGCCTGGTGGGAGTATTGACAGTGGCAATTTTCCACCTGTAGCTATACCAGCCAGACTCCCTGGTAAGTATTAATAATAAATCAGAAAATAATTAAAACATAATTTGAATTTATTAAATTGGATAACAAATAATATTTTGTCTACCAATTTATATCTAGACTATGTTTAGACATTAAACTGCACATGAATGTGTATGTGTTACTTCCACTTCCAGAGAGTAATATATTACAACATATGTAGCATATGTTATAAATATGATATATCAGTCAGAGCCCAGGCATAAAGACAGAAATCACTTTAGTCTTTCAAACAGAAAGAACACCGTGTAAGGCATCCGGTAATTGCATAGATGAGAAGATTAATCAGAGAAAGGTGAGGCAACCCAGAAAATGACTACCACTTTTTAGGGTTGTAGGGACAATAAAAAGAGGTGGTATTACTAGAATCAGATTCTGGGCCATTTAGCATGATATATAACTATGGTCAGGGATGTATAGCAGGATTGAAACCACAGGGAGAGTAACTGTCCAGCATGAGCTGGAGGTATAGAGAATATACAGTCACTGTTGGAGATTCTGGAGAGGAAGGGGGAATAATATCAGAGCTATTTTTACTCTTCGAATCCTCCAGATATTACTTAGTGATTCCCAGTGATCAAAACTGACTGGAAGACAGCAGGTCAAGGAACTTGGGCAGTGCGGTTCCCTGTGATATTGATCAAAGCAGAGGAAAAGCCTAGATGAATTTTAGAGAAAGCCAGAAGTTAACTGGCATATCCAATAATACTTAGGACCAGGAGATTTTCTTTGATATAAAAATCTAAATGTACATACAAGTAGAGCCATTTTTCTGATTTTGAGTCATAGGTAGTTATTAATTCCAGTATCTGGAAATATTATATTTAATGTTATATAGTAATAGATTAGTAAGTTTAAAACTTTGTAATTAATGTATTTTCAAGCTATTTCCATTTTACTAGCAACAATTAGCTTATCTTCCCATTGGCTGCAATTAATTGTTTCTATTCATGCACACACATGCCATTTCCCAATGAGCAGTGGAGACCACTCCTTTCCAGGTTGGTTTTAGTGGTATGATTGATCAATAAAATGTGAAGAACTAACATTCTAGGACTCTCGTGGTCTTCCTACAGACTCTAGCCAGGTATTTTGCAGCCCTTACTTCTCTCATTCCCTGAAATCTCATTCTCTCATTCACTTCTTGAAAATTATCAGCAATATTTGAAATTTGATTGCACTCAGAAACAAAAATACAACCATCTAATAAGCCCTCCTCAAATTCATAACCAACAAAATTGTGAGCAAAATCTAGTGTTTTAAGTTACTAAGCCTTGAGGTAATTTCTTATACAGCAATAAATAATAAAAAACATTTAGCTCCCAATATGTTGTGTAATAGAAATATAAAATGTGACCTTAGCTTTGAAATTGGATAGTGCATGGAAGACAGAAAGGCAGGAAACTATTGAAGTCTTAGTACATGTTGAAGTTGGTGAGCAATTCAAGGACAGTTTAAAAACACGTTGCAGAAAGTGAAACCATTATTATGAAGTGGTAAATTGTTTGGCATCACTGCTGCCTTTGGTAATGTGGAAAATTGAACTCATGCCTACTATGAAACTACTGGAAGAAAATGTTAATAAGGCACTCTAGGACATTGGTCCAAGCAAGGATTTTATTGGTTTGAAAGTAAAACTAATTTTCATTCTCCACAAGTTTCTTAAAGTAAGAAACAATGAAAGGCCAAATTTGAGATTAGAGCAATAAAATTTTATCTCAAATCAAAATTAAGCAAGGCCTTTGACTGTAAACACCTCTGTTAAAATCTCAGAAAAACTTAAGTTGATATATCTTAGAGACTCTTTCTTCTATACAAAAGGCCTTCTAAGTATTTTATGTAAATGCATCATAAAAAGTTTCAAACAGTAAGGCTACTAAGAATTTTAAACTGGTCATTTCATAACAGCCTCACAGGATCCAATACAGAGAAAGGCTTATGTCAAAGAGATTTGCGAGTGTGGCCTTTGTTTAATGGATTGTGTTTTTATTTGATACATGAGAAATTCAAGGAATTATATTAGCTCAGACTGAAAGTGATCAAGGTAGCATGTACGTTCATTGGTCCCCAATCAACTATAGGCAAGAAACAGGCTGATAAAGGTAGTCAGATGTGAAAAGGACTATTTGGATTATAAACCAAAGGGCATAAACAAAAAGTCAGAAACCACACTTCTTAATCTGTGGGTTTATGATTTTTTAGGTCACCACCAACAAAAATAAACGACAACAAAAAACTATAGGCATAGATGGTTTCACAGGTGAACTGAACCAAATTCTTGGAAGAAAGCAATATTATTTTCAGAAAACAGTGGTGGGGAAGTTCCTGTCAACTCATTGTATGAGGAAAACATAATCCTGATGCCAAATTCAAACAAGGAACTCAACAAAGAAGAAAATCACAAAAAAAATTCTTCATGAACAGAGATACAAAAATCCTCAGCAAAGTATCAGCCCACCATATATAGCTATCCATTTTAAAAAGAGTTACAAGAGTCACTTTGGGCATTTATATTTTCAAGTTATCTATTTCATAGAAAATATGTTAATTTTTAAATTATTAAATTGTTCAAAGATTTTATTTTGGTAGACGTAGTAAAATACAGAAATATCTTTACTATATTTCTGGTGCTTGCTTTCAAATCTTTGATTTTTTTTTCTTCTAGAAAGGCGCTACATTGAGAACATTTACCATTCCAAACCAATGAGATGGCCATTTTTCTTATTCATTCCTTTCTTTATTATTTTCTGTGTACTGATTGCTATAATGGTGAAAGTTAATTTCCAAAGGAAAAAATGGAGAACTGAGGACTATTCAAGCGATGAGTATATTGATTTCATATTTAAGATTTGTTATTTGTATAATTTATGAACATAGTAAATAGCAATGTGGTCGATGTAATGAGTAATAATTCAAATTCAATTATTGTCTTTATATGGGAATTTAATAACTCATATATTAATAACTAATGGCCAGGGGTGGTGGCTCACGCCTGTCATCCCACCACTTTCTGAGGCCAAGGCGAGTGGATCACTTAAAGCCAGGAGTTCAAGACAAGCCTGGGCAACATGATGAAACCCCATCTCTCCAAAAATATACAAAAATTAGCCAGGCGTGGTGGCATGCACCTATAGTCCCAGCTACTCAGGAGGCTGAGGTGGGAGGATCACTTGAGCCTGGGAGGCAGAGGCTGCAGTGAGCCGAGATTGTGCCACTGCACTCTAGCCTAGGCAACAGAGTGAGACTGAGACTCAAAAAAGAAAAAATTATATATATATACACACACACACATGCACACACACACACACATACACATGCATATATACACATATAATAATTGCAATTTTAATCTTATAAGAATCTGGACTTTTTAGGGGCAAGATTAGCTAAAGTTTAGCTGTCCATTCAAGTTTAAAGTTTATCTTTAAAGTTTATCTATCTTCTTTTATTATTTGATCTTGTTAAATATGTATTTTAACTTAATAATACTTAAATAACTTTGTAATATTTCTATATCTTAGTGAATTTTTATGCTATTTTAATGAAAGGTAGTAGGAAAACCCAGGAAAGTAATTTAGCTTTTTTTTGGTAGTAATGTAAATTGAAGCACAGCAATTAGAAGTAGAAAAAGATTAAAAGTTAATAAGTAATAAAAGACTTAAAAATCTAGATGATAGCCACAGCTAGTCTACAGAAAATATAAAACAAATAACTTCTATTAAAAATAAAAATATCTGAATATGTGCTATAAAAATACAAGTAAACATTAAAACTGGTTTATTTATTTTCAAGGAAAATGCTACCAAATGATTTCTCCCTGGGAGTTATATAACTATGTCCTTCATTTTACTTGAAATGAATTGAATTTCATTAAAATACTTAAAATGACAATGTAAATGAAAATGGAATATATTTTAAAAGTTGATTTGAAATTGCTGAAATAATATACAGCACCTAAACGAGTAATAACTTAGTCATTATTTAAATATACTAAAGTGGTTTTCTTATATTGGATAACTATTGTGGAATAACTGATATCAAATATCTTCAGGGAAAAAAGCATAGCTAGTAAAATGAATAGAAATTAATAGGGTTGAAAATGAATGGCAAAAAGTTTAAAGATACTTAACCAATAATACTATGAATATAACAATGATCTAAGTTTCTTTTCGGGTAAACATATATCACTGTGCTTTTTTTTCATATTCACTGATGCAAAGATGTTCATTATTAGTCTTGATTACCAGGGCAGAGATGTTCTCAGTGATAGGGTATTCTCAAATAATGGGTGAACCCAGTTCTTAGGTAAAAATTCAGAACTGTTTCAAGACTGACAGATAATACAGAGGTTTGTAAAATCATCTTGAAGAAAGTATAATATTATTTTTATTTTTAATATGCAGGCAACCTGAAAGTGAGAGTGAACCTAAAGGGTAGTCTGGACAACAGAGATGCCATGATATCACTGTGAGTTTCTTTCATTTTTTTAAAATTTATTTTACTTTAAGTACTGGGACACAGGTGCAGAATGTGCAGGTTTGTTACATAGGTATACATGTGCCATGGTGGTTTGCTGCACCTATCAACCCGTCATCTAGGTTTTAAGCCCCACATGCATTAGGTATTGGTCTCAATGCTCTTCCTCCCCTTGCCTCCCAACCCCCGACAGGTTCTGGTGTGTGATGTTCCCCTCCCTGTGTCCATGTGTTTTCATGATTCAGCTCCCACTTATGAGTGAGAACATGCGGTGTTTGGTTTTATGTTCCTGTGTGTGTTTGTTGAGAATGATGGCTTCCAGCTTCATCCATGTCCCTGCAAAGGACATGAGTGAGTTCCAAATATTTTAAGGATGGGGGGGTTGGGGGGAGGAGAGAGAAAGAACGTAATATATTAAATAAATATATATTAAGTAGTGACAGTCATATAGCTATATATAATAAAAATAAATTGGAGACTATTTTTCGGAATTATATTTTTCAGAATTTATAATAGACATGATCAAGTTATAAATGATTTTGAAATTTTCCACTTAAAAATTTATTACAGTGTTATTTTTTAATTATTTTCTTTAGTTAATTTTACTTCTTTAGCATTTGTATATTTAAAATGTTGGCTAAAAATAAATTGCATGATATAAGTCTACTTTGCAATAAGGTTACTTGCATGCTATTTGTTGAACTAGCTATCATTTCAACTTGTTGATAACGGTGACTTTTTTTTTCATTTATTCAGTCTTCTAGAGTAATTATCTGTGATGGATGGACACAAAAAAATGGAAAGAAAAGAATGTACATTACCTGGTTTCCTGGGATTCAAACCTGCATATTGTGATTTTAATTTGACCAGAAAATATGATATATATGTATAATTTCACAGATAATTTACTTATTTAAAAATGCATGATAATGAGTTTTACATTACAAATTTCTGTTTTTTTAAAGTTATCTTACGCTATTTCTGTTGGTTAGTAGACACTAATTCTGTCAGTAGGGGCATGGTATAAGGAAATATCATAATGTAATGAGGTGGTACTATGATTAAAAGCCACTGTTACATTTCAAATTGCAATGGTATGTGTTATGTTATAGTGTGATGGTCTGAAATCAATCAAAGGCAATGATCCTAAAATTTGGAAAAATTTTTCACCATATGCTGCTGAAAAAAGATACATTTTCAAGTATATAAACATTTAAAGTAAAGGATGATATTATTTCAGTCCTACACATGCTGATTCCTTTCATGAGGTCAGCAAAAATTAGTAACAAAACATGACAAGGATTATTCAGCCTGAAAAAAGAAGGAAATCTTGTTATATGCAGTAACATGGGTGAAATTTAAGGACGTTATGCTAAGTGTAATAAGCCAATCACAAAAAGGCAAATATTGCATGATTCCATTTATATGAGGTATCTAAAACAGTCAAACTATTTGACTCAATTATCTGATTTATAAGCATATACTCACGCAAGACACACAGATTTTAAGATACTAGAAATAGATTTGAAGTTTTTTAATCTGATGAAAGGGATCAACAAAACATTTATATAATGAAAATAATTAATATTGAATTTTCTAGTCTTTCCTCCTAATATTGTGAAGAAGTTAAGAAAATTCACTATTAACATTTTTATATATCTTTGTGGAAATAGTAGTCAGTAAATATGGCTACAAAAAAGTAAAAAATAAACTTTAAATAGGAATCTTTATACAAAGAAAATCTTATTATAATATAAACACAGAAAATCCAAGATAATCTATAGATAAAATATTTTAACTACCAAGTGAATCTGAAAAATCCATTGGGTGTAAATTTAATACACAAGTATCCCATTTACATATAAAATAAAAATGTAAACACTAGAATATTTAAAAGAATATTATTTACATTAGCACTAAACATATTAAATCCTTGGAAATAACCATTCTAGGAAAACTATGACACCTATACATACAAAATGACAAATTACTATTAAAAGAAATTAAAGATAGTGTTAGGCCATTCTTGCATTGCTATAAAGAAAAACCTGAGGCTGGATTTTTTTTTTTTTTGAGACAGAATTTCACCCTTGTTGCCTAGGCTGGAGTGCCAATGGCATGATCTTGGCTCACTGCAGCCTCTGCCTCCCAGGTTCAAGTGATTCTCCTGCGTCAGCCTCCCGATTAGCTGGGATTACAGGCGCACACCACTACGCCCGAATAATGTGTGTATGTTTAATACAGATGGGGTTTCGCCATGTTGGCCAGGCTGGTCTTGAACTCCTGACCTCAGGTGATCCGCCCGCCTTGGCCTCCCAAAGTGCTGGGATTACAGGCGTGAGCCACCACGCCCGGCTGAGGCTGGGTAATTTGTAAGTAAATCACACTACCTAACTTCAAAATGTGCAAACACCATGGTACTGGCATAAAAGCAGACATGTAGACCAATGGAACAGAATAGAGAGCCAAGAAATAAATCTGTGCATTTACAGCCAACTGATTTTCGACAAAGGCACCAAGAATACATATGAGGAAAAGTTTCTTCAACAAATGATGTTGACAAAACTGGTTACCTATATGCAGAAGAATGAAATTAGATCCTATATATCTTAGATATATAGGATCTAATATATACATAAATTATCTCAAAATGAATCAAAGACTTAAATATAAGACCTGAAATTGTAAAAGTATAGGGGAAGAAAAACATAGGGGAAAAGCTCCACGACATTTAGTCTGGGTAAAGACTTTTTGGAATATGACCTCAAAGTACAGACAACAAATGCAAAAATAGACAAATAGAATTGCACCATACTAAAAAGCTTCTGTACAGCAAATGAGACTCAACAGAGTGAGGTGACAGCTTAAAGAAAAAGAGAAAAGATTGGCAAACTATACATCTGATAATAAGTTAATATTCAAAATATTAACAAACTCAAACACCAAGAAGACAAATAGCCTAATTAAACAATGGACACAATAAAGGAATAGACTTTCTCAAAAGAATACATACAAATGGCCAACAGGTAAACTAAAAAATGCTCAATATCACTACTCATCAGAAAATGTATATCAAAACCACAATAAGATATAATGTTAGATTGGCTGTTATCAAAAGATAAAAGATAACAAGTACAGATGAGGATGCAGAAAAAACAGAACACTTATACACTGTTGTTGGGAATATAAATTAATACAATCATTATAGAAAACAGTATGGAGGTTCCTCAAAAAATTAAACATAGAAGTACTGTATGACTCAGCAGTCCCACCACTGGTTATGTATTCAAAGTAAATAAAATCAGTATGTTGAATAGATGTCTGCACTACCTGGTTTACTGCAGCACACACAATAGGGTCAAGATATGGAATCAAGCTAAATGTCCATCAACCAATGAATGGATAAAGAAAATACAGTACATATATACAATAATTCAGCCATAAAAAGGGAAATTATCTCATTTGCTACAACATTTATGAACTAGAGGCCATGACGTTAAGTAAAAGAAGCCACAGAAAGACAAATATCACATCATCTCACTCATGTGGGATCTATAAATACTGATTTCATAGAAGTAGAGAGTAGAATGATGGTTACCAGAAGCTGAAGTGATTAGAAGACAAAAGGGGTTTGGGGAAATGTTGGTCCAAGGGTACATATTTACAGTTAAATAGGGGGAATATTCTCAAGAGATCTATCGTGTTGACTATAGTCAATGATGGTGTATTTTATTATTGAAAAACACAGAAAGCAGATTGTGTTTGCACCACAATAATGTTAACTATTTGGGATAATGAATTTATCAGTTAGTTACATTTAATCACTCCACAATGTATACATGTTTCCAAACATTATGTTACAATGATAAGTACATGCAATTTTATCTGTCAATTGAAAAAAAGTGGACTTAATACAAAAAGGAAAAGATAAAGTAGACATAATAACAGGCCCACTGACTGAAATTGTTTCATTAGTTTTAAATATGTGGTTAAAAAAAAAGAAATAAATGAAGTTTCTACTAAGAAGTTGATAGCACTTTATCAATATTTGAGAGGTAAGTGACCTGCTCCAGCGCCAACCCCAACTCATAGACCAATGGCATATGAAATTTATCTATTCTAGTCCAGTGGAGTTCAAATCTAATCATGAGGACTGTAATTTAGAACAGAAAATAGTTAAAGAATGAGCTGAATTTAATAACCAATTTAAAGCCATAAATCTGAAAAAGACTGACAGGGAGGCCAAAATATATTGGTCCAGCCTTTTTTGGGGCAGAATCAATAGTTTGAGTAAAGTGGCCTGAGTTGGTATGCAAATTATCTTAGAACTGTTACCTACAAGAACTCAATGTACCGTAATCCCTCCGAGAGACAAGAAGGACCTAAGATGTATGTGAGTGAAATGGAAATACCATAGTGGAAATGTGAAATTACAGATAGTAAAGTTTGATTCTAAAGACTGCACCATGGTTACTTTCTTTTTACCCGAACATATAATTGGTATGGGTGTTATGTGTGAATGGGGTGTATTGTCCTTTTCATGGGAGGAAGGGGAAGGACATTGATTAAAGTTTACCCTTTAACTAATTTTTGCAGCTATACTAAATGAGAACTTTTAGAATGGTCCATGCCCTCCTCAATATCAAACATTAGGCAATAAAGAATTCCACCGGGGCAATAAGAGAACATTACTTTAATTAAGGAAATGGTTGTGGTCAGAGTTTTAATTCTCATTTTCTTTTTAAATGCACTGCTTCGTTAGATGCAAAGCTAAATATGAAGTAAACTTCCTTTCTCAGAAACTTTTGTGTCAGTTATAATGTATTTATCTAAATCTACCATCTCTATCTATCTATCTATCTATCTATCTATCTATATCTCTACCTCCCTACCTATTTATTTGGTACTAAGCAATCTTTCACAGTCTTAAGAACTTAGAGATAATAAAGGCTAAACAACACTAGAACATGGAATAATTTAATATGATTAGTAATTGCCTCAGCAAGGAACACTATAAATTTACAATACATTTGAAATATAAAATCTTTATCAGAATCTCTCTCAGGCTCATATGTTTCAAGATGAGAACATAATTTACAGATTCGGCCCATATAAAGATATTTAAGATTGGATATTTGATGGGACTCAAAGCCTCAGTAGAGCATACTCATATTAAATGTTCTATTCAAAGACGAAGGATTTGGTGTCACAAGAGAGAGTGCTGGTGAGCCCCAGGGATCCAATAGACATCCACATGCAAAGTCCCTGGGGTTCTTATTAATATCTGTACACAGAGACTCATGGCTTAATCTCTTCATGAAATGACAAAGGTTTGTGGAATAAATTCTGTCTCTAGGAAAGCTCATGAAAGAAGTTCCCAGTGGAGCCTTTATGCATTTATGTACAGAATGAAAATCCAGGTTGTATAACCAGGTTTTCCAGGTAAGTCAATTGGTCCTGGAGGTTTTCAGGGAATTATACCTTAAACAGCAAATTATACATATTCCTTCTCTCACTTAAGTCAAGAGTCACAGCTAAACATTCAGGCATCCACAGATATAAGAATAGAGTTCTCCCAGTTTATTTGTAAAATAAATCTACCCTCCCTGTATAATCCGCCACTGACTTTCTCATCACTGGTTAGGAACATTTAATTATAAATTACTTGCGATCATTGTTCTTCTGCAAATTTCTTACAGTGCAGTTAAAGCAGCAAGAAAATTTCCAAAGTAGTAATTATTTATTTTATGGTCCAAAATATGATCTATCTTGGTGAATGGTCCATGTGCACTTGAGAAGATTGTGTATCCGGATGTTGGGTGTCTGAATGCCAATTAGATCAATTCGCTTGATGGCTTTCTTCACATCATCTATATCTTTACTGATTTTCTTCTCAGCAGTTCTAACAGATATTGAAAGAGGAATAATGAAATCTACAACTATAATTGAGGACGTGTCTGTTTCTCTTTTCAGATCTGTCAGTTTTCTGTCAAGCATACACATTTAGTATTGTTATGTCTTCTTGGAGAATTTTCCCCTTATAATTTGTAATGTCTCCTTTTTCTCTGAAAACTGTCTGTTGGAATATCTATTTTATCTGAAATTAGGATAAGTACCTGGACCTACTTTAATTAGTGTTTGCCTGATACATTTGTCTTTTTACTTTTGACCTATCTAAATTTTTATATTTAAAAGAGGTTTATCATAGAGGCATACATATGGGCCTTGCTTTCTAATTCAATCAGTTATCACATAACTTGTATTTAGTCCAGTGGTTAGCATACATTTTTTTCTGTAAAGAGCCAGATAATAAACGTTTTTGGCATTATGAGTCACATGGCTTCTGTTGCAAATCCTCCACTGTGCTGTTACAGTGTCAAAATGACAATGCAACATTTCTTTTCTTTTTCTTTCTTTCTTTTTTTTTTTTTTTTTGATACAGAGTCTTGTTCTTTTGCCCAGGCTGGAGTGCAGTGACATGATCTCAGCTCACTGCAACCTCTGTCTCCCAGGTTCAAGTAATTCTCCTGCCTCAGCCCCCCAGGTAGCAGGGATTACAGGCACCCCTCACCACGCCTGGCTAATTTTTGTATTTTTAGTAGAGAGGGGGTTTACCATGCTGACTAGGCTGGTTTCAAACTCCTGACCTCAGGTGATCCACCCACCTCAGCCTCCCAAAGTGCTGGGATTACAGGTGTGAGCCACCGTACCTGGCCAAAAATGCAGCATTTCATTGTTACACCACATTTTGTAAATAAAGTACATTTCATCCATTCATTATTATATTTTTATTTGTTATATATCAGTTGACAGACATTTGGACTCTTTCCACTTTTTCTCTATTATGAATAATGCTGCTATGAACTCTAATGTACCAGTTTTTTGTGGACATATGTTTCTATTTCTCTTGGATATTTACCTAGAAGTGAAATTGCTGGATTATAAAGTAATGATGTCACAGTAATCATTCAATTTGTCAATTATCTCCATTGGTTTACTTTCAAAAAATATTCAAACTTTGACTACACTTACCATTCCTAGTTTGAACCACCGTCGTTACTCTCCTTGACTATTGTTACAGCCCCCATACTTGCTTCATCCACTTTTCCCCTTGCCTATCTATAATCTATTTGCAAAAAATTAGTCTTTTAAAGTGTAAGTTATATTGATTGACATTAAGACCTAATACTATAGTTTGGATGTTTGTCCACCCAAAACGTCATGTTGAAATTTGATTTCCAGTATTAGAAGTGGGTCCTAATGGGAGGTGTTTGGGTCATGGGGGCAGATCCCTCATGAATTACTGGGTGCCATCCTCATGGTAACGGGTGTGTTCTCCCTTATTAGTTCCTATAAGAGCCGGTTGTTAATAAGAGCCTGGCACCTCCCCCTATGTCTCGCTTCCTCTCTCACCATGTGAGATTTGCACGTGCCTGTTCCCATTTACCTTCCACCATGAGTAAAAGCACCTGAGGATTTCACCAGAGATCAATCTTGCATCCAACAGAATTGTGAGCAGAATAAACCTTTTTATAATAAAAAAAAAAAAGTACCCAGTCTCACATATTCCTTTATAGCAACACAAAACAAAGACAACTTACATGAGATTTACTTTTCTGACCTACACTACAACAACCCTCTGACTAACTCCACCAAGAAGTTCTCTGACATAGCCTGGAGACATTTTCCCCATTGTCCTGATGATTAACATTCAGCTTCTCATTACTTGTGCAAATTTCTGCAGCTGGCTTGATTTTCTTTTTCCCAGAAAATGGGTTTTTCTTTTTCTATTACATCATTAAGCTGCAAATTTTTCAAACTTTTATGCTCTGCTTTCTCTTGAGTCCATTGCTGCTTAGAAATTTCTTCCACCAGATACTCCAAATCATCTCTCTCAAGTTCAAAATTTCACGTATCTCTAGGGCAAGGGCAAAAAGCCACCAGTCTCTTTGCTAAAGCACAGAGTCACCTTTTCTCCAGTTCCCAACAAGTTCCTCATCTCCATCTGGGACCACATCAACCTGAACTTCATTGTTCATAACACTATCAGCATTTTCATCAGTCATTCAACAAGTCTCTAGAAAGTTCCCAACTTTCCCACATTTTCCTCTTTTCTTCTGAGCCCTCCAAACTGTTCCAACCTCTGCCTGTTACCCAGTTCCAAAGACGCTTCCACATTTTTGGGTATCTTTACAGCAGCACCCCTCTCTACTGGTACCAATTTACTGTATTAGTCTGTTCTCATGCTGCTAATAAAGACATACTGAAGACTGAGTAATTTATAAAGGAAAAGAGGTTTAATGGACTCACAGTTCCACGTGGCTGGGGAAGCCTCAAAATCATGGCAGAAGGCAAAAGAGGAGCAAAGCCATATCTTACATGGCAGCAGGCAAGAAAGAGCATGTGGAGGGGAACTGCTCTTTATAAAACCATCAGATCTTGTGAGACTTATTCACTATCATGAGAACAGCACAAGAAATACCCACCCCCATGATTCAATTACCTCTCACCAGGTCCCTCTCATGACGCATGGGAATTATGGGAGCTACAATTCAAGATTTGGGTGGGGCACAGCCAAACCGTATCACTGTATCTTTGTTCTCATTTGTTTCAAAGAACTTCTTGATTTCTGCCTTAATTTTATTATTTACCCAAATGTCATTCATGAGCATGTTTAATTTTCATGTAATTGCATGGTTTTGAGTGGTTTTCTTAGTCTTGACTTATATTTTTATTGCACTGTGGTCTGAGAGTGTGTTTGGTATAATTTGTTTTTTTTTTTTTTTTTTTTTGCATTTGCTAAGAATTGCTTTATGTCCAATTACGTGGTTGACTTTAGAGTATGTGCCATGTGGCAATGAGAAGAATGTATATTCCGTTATTTTCTAGTGGAGAGTTCTGTAGATGTCAAACAGATACATCTGGTCCAATGTTGAGTTCAGGTCCTGAATATCTATTAATTTTCTGCTTTGATGATCTGCCTAATGCTGTTTGTGGAGTGTTGAATTTTTCCACTATTATTGTCTAGGAGTCTATGTTTCTTTGTAGGTGTAGGCTGCAGCCTTGTAGGTAGATCTCAGACTGCTGCGCTAGCAGTGAGCAAGGCTCCGTAGGTGTGGGACCTGCCGAGCCAGGCATGGGAAAGAATCTCCTGGTCTGCCAGTTGTTAAGACCATGGGAAAGCACAGTATTTGGGTGAGACTGTCCCGTTTTTCCAGGTACAGTATGTCATGGCTTCCCTTGGCTAGGAAAGGAAAAATCCCCTAACCCCTTGTGCTTCCTGGGTGAGGCGATGCCCCACCCTGCTTCAGCTCACCCTCTGTGGGCTGCACCCACTCTCCAACCAGTCCCAATGAGATGAACCAGGTACCTTAGTTGGAAATGCAGAAATCACCTGTCTTCTGCATCGATCACACTGGGAGCTGCAGACCACAGTTGTTCCTATTCAGCCATCTTGGAAAGGACCCTGGGTTTTCTCTGTGTCTTATGTCTTTTCTCTTCCTTTTTTCCCTCCATTACTGCTTTCTTTGAGGTAAATGGACATTTTTGAGTTACTATTTTAATTTTATTTTCTTTAACATATATTTTTGAATTGTCTCCTTAGTGACTGGTCTGAGGTTTACATTAATATCTTAAATTTATAACAATGTAGTTTGAAGTAATGCCAATTTAATTTCAATAGTATACAGGCTTAGCTTATATGTAGCTCTGTCCTCTGCTCCAGTATACTTTGTCTTATTGTCACAAATTACATACTTACTATTGTGTACCCATCAATTTAGATTCATAATTATTGCTTTATGTAGCTGTCTTTTGAATAAGATAGGATATGAAAATTACAACCAAAATAAACTTATATTGTCTTTTATATTTACCTTCATAGTTACCCTTAATGGTGCCTAATTTTTGTTCATATGGATTCAGTTCTTTTATAGGGTAGCTCTGCTAGTGCCAAATTCTCTCAGTTTTTGTCTGTCTGAGAATGTCTTAATTTCTTCTTCATTTTTGAAGGATGGTTTTGCTCAATATAGAATTATTGATTGATCATTTCTTTCCTTCAGAACTTTGACTATTTCATCTTACTCTCTTGTGGCCTCCATGGTTTCTAATGATAAATCAACTATTATTCTTATTCAGCATTGTTTGTATGTGACAAAGTTATTTGTCTTTTGCTATTTTCAGGATTCTGTATTTTTTTGTTTAATGTTTCTGGAGTTAAACATCTTTTCATGTGCTTATTTGGCCATTTGTTTGTCTTTGGAAAAATGTCTATTCAAGTCCTTTTGAACTGTTTTTTTGCTTTGAGTTTTAGAAGTTGCTGAATTTTAGAAGTTGTATATCTATTCTGGATATTAATCCATTATAAGTTGTGATTTATAAATATTTTCTCTCATTCTGTTGGTTGCCTTTTCACTCTATTTTTTTTTGCTTAAAAGTTTTTAATTTTTGTAAGGTCTGTTTTGTCTATTTTTTTCTTTTGTTATTTGTACCTTGATATCATCTCCAATAAATCATTCCCAAATTAAACATCATGAAGCTTTTGGCCTATATTTTTTTCTAAGGCTTCTACAGTTTTAACCCTTACATGTAAGTCTTTGATATAGTTTGAGTTAATTTTTGTATGTGGCCTTAGGTAAGGGTCCAACTTTATCCTTTTGCTTGTGGAAATCTAGTTTTCCCAACATGATTTGTTTAAAAGACTGCCCTTCCCCTATTTGTCTTGGGTACTTTATTAAAGATCATTTAATTATACTCCTGCAGGTTTGTTTCTGGTCTTTCTAGTCTGTTACTTTGGTCTGTATATCTGTCTTTACATCCAGCTGTATTAATTTCTGTAGATTTTTAGGTAATTTTAAAATCAGAAAGTGTGAGTCCTCCAACTTTGTTCTTTTTCAGAACTATTTTGGCTAGTCAGAATCCTTTGAGATTCCATATAAATTTTAGAATAAGTTTTTCTATTCCTGCATGAAAGCCATTAGGATTCTGTTTGGGATTGCATTTAATCTGATCAATTTACATAATACTGGCATCTTAAATATAAAGTCTTCTAATCCATGCACATGGGATAACTTTCCATTTACTTATGTCTTTACTTTCTTTAAACAATATTTTGTAGATTTCATTGTACACATCTTTCAGCAGCTCTTTGGTTAAATTTATTTGTAATTATTTCATTCTATTTAATGCTATTGTATATTTAATTTTTAATTTCCCTTTTAGATTGTTTATTGTTAGTGTAAATAAATGCAACAGTTTTTTCCTTTTGTTTTCCAAGATGAGGTCTTGCTTTGTCACCTAGGCTGGAGTGCAGTGGTATGATCTCAACTCACTGCGGCCTGAACTCCTGGGGTTAAGCGATCCTTTCGGCTACAAGTGTGCCATCAGGGCCAGCTAATTTTTTAAAAAATTTGTTTTAGAGATGACTTCTTGCTATTTTGCCCAGGTTGGTCTTGAACTTCTTCCCTCAAGCAATCCTCCTGCCTCAGCCTCCCAAGTAGCTGAGATCACAAATGTGAACCACATGCCTGGGCAAAAGCAACTAATTTTTGGGTGTTGATTTGGTATCCTGCTACTGCACTGAATTTATTAGTTATAGCATGGTGTGTGTGTGTGTGTGTGTGTGTGGATGTGTGTGCATTTGTGTGTAGTGTTCTCTATAGATAAGATTCTACCACTGAGAACAGAGATTTTACTTTGTCTTTCCAGTTTGGATGCTTTTTGTCTTGCTTAATTGCTCTAAGTAGATCTTCCAGTACTGTGTTGAATAGAAGCAGTGAAAGTGGACATCATTACCTTGTTCCTGATCTTGGAGTAAATGTTTTCACTCTCACCATTACATATGATATTCATTGTGGGTTTATCATATATACTTTTAACTATTTTGTGATAGTTTCCCTCTATTCCTAGCTTCTTGAGGCTTTTTTATCATTAAGTATACTGAATTTTATCAAATGCTTATTCTCCTTCACTTAGGATGACCATGTGGTTTTTTTCTTTCATTCTATTACATGGATTGGTTTTCATATGTAGAACTTCATGATGTATCTTATAACTGTATTTGATACAAACTGTATAGGAAACAAGCCAATGAAATATTTTCCTTTCCTCTTTTATCCTATTGTTTGAGAATAAAGACATATATTTTGCCTTCTACATTCTGGATATCAAGTAATGGCATCACAATATACACAGTTGCTTAAGGCACAAATCTATATTTCAACAACATAACTTACCTGTACCTTACTCATAATAACAAAAAATGTGAAAAACAAGTTTTATGTATCATGGTTAAACGCCTTATAAAATATCTCATAAAGTCTCACAGCATACTCACAAGTTAGGTATAACTTTACCTATTTTACTGTTAAGAAAATTAGAATTGTTTTGAAACACAGCCAGTAAGTGATTGAGACTTGGATGTGTCACTTCCTTTAACACTTTTCAGCTTTCTAACCATTATCGTACATATGGTATTAATTAATTTTTCAGAGCTCAAGTATCTTTTGCTAAATTTTCTAATTCTAAGAATTTGTATGAAAAAATCTCTTAGCATAAATGTTTAATTGTGCACTTTTTTGTCAATAAAGGATCCATTCTACAGGTGTGCAGTGACATTACATTGCATGTGATTTTCACTGGCATTTCCCTGATGATAGTGATGCTGACCATTTTTTCATACAATTCTTGGCCATTTGGATGGCTTCTTTTGAGAAATGTCGATTCAGGTCCTTTGCCCATTTCAAAATAATATTATTTGTTTTCTTGTTATTGAGTTTAGTCACCTATAAATTTTGGATATTAACCCCTTACCTGATGTATAATTTGCAAATATTTCCTATTATATAGGTTGTCTCTTCACTCTATTGACTGTTTCTTTTGCTATATCAAAGCTTTTTAGTTTAAAGTAATCCCTTGTTTTCTATTCTTGCTTTTCTTGTCTTTTGAGGATCAGAATAAACAAATATATAGAGCTAGAAGGTAGATAAGTGATTGCCTGGGGCTGGTGAAGTAAAGGAGAAGTAAAGGTGAAGTAAAGGTGAAGTAAAGGAAAGTAGGAGAAAACAATGGGGAGTGATTACTAATGTTTCTGGAGCTTCTTTTTTGGGTGATGAAATGTTCAAAAATTGATTATGGTGATGGTTGCATAATTCTGTGATCTTACTAAAACTATTACATTGCATACTTTTTTTTTTTTTAGACGGAGTCTCGCTCTGTCGCCCAGGCTGGAGTGCAGTGGCATGATCTCTGCTCACTGCAAGCTCCGCCTCCCAGGTTCACGCCATTCTACTGCCTCAGCCTCCCAAGTAGCTGGGACTACAGGCACCCGCCACCATGCCCAGCTAATTTTTTGTATTTTTAGTAGAGATGGGGTTTCAATGTGTTAGCCAGGATGGTCTCGATCTCCTGACCTCGTGATCCGCCCACCTTGGCCTCCCAAAGTGCTGGGATTACAAGAGTGAGCCACTACACCTGGCGCATTGCATGCTTTAAATGGGTGAATTGTATGATATGTTAGTTACGTCTCAATAAAGCTAGTTAAAATCAAGTTCAAGTTGGCTGTTTAGCCTTTTTATGTGCTAGGAATTTGGTATGCTTTCTTTTGTTTTTTTCTGAGACTGTATTTTTAAATATTTAAGAATTATTTCCCTAGTATGCATATACTACTTGAAGAATAATGAAAGAAAAAGTAAGTAAACCATTTATTTTCACTCAGGCAAAATGTAAGAACAAAGTAAATATGAGCACAAACATAATTTCACAGATGAATGTGTATAGATACATCAACATTATTGGTGTCTTTCTTAATATTCTGTGGCCATACAATTTGTAGAAATGGTGTTTCCGAATCTGCAGTAAGGAAAAACATGTGAGCATTCCCAGTGTATCACAGCATCCTTTCTTCACTCGTCTGCTCATCTTACATCACTATACTTCCAAGCCCCAATACACACACACACACACACACACACACACACACACACCCCACAAAACCAGACTTTGTCCAATTCCAGGAAGAGACTCCCCTAGAAGAGAAGAGGGAGTATTACCCAGAGTCATCCCCCACACTCTGGGTCTAGGTGACCTCAACCCAGAATGGGAAAGGAAATATGGGCTGTAGGTGTCAAACCCCATCCAGCCTCCCTCCTTCCCCCACCTCTCCAGGAAATGCACCCTCTTGAGCAGAGTCAGGTAAGTGAGGAACAGCTGTCTGAGTTCTGGGCTAAGCCCTCCAACTAGCAGGTTCAACCAGATGCCAATGGCACAGTGGCCCTGAAACTGGGCAGGCTCTGACTGTGCCCCTCCCCAGCCCGGCCTGAGGTTCAAGACCAAGGGGATGATGCCCGCCTGGCCTTGAAGCTCTGGGGCTCTGGAGCAACAAGCTCTGTTTCTTCTGCACAGCTTGGCCTGAGCTACTGGAACAGGGAGGGTGACACATGCTTCCTCTCTGGACACTGAAATGCAGTCCCCGTACGCAGCAAAAATTCTTCACTTGCAATCACCCGCGGAGGTCAACCGGCCCAGCCCTGAGAGGATCAGCAAGAGAGCATTGCGTGGCCAGCGGCCTCGCCACAGTGATGGCTGCTGAGCATGGAATGGGGGCTGCTTCTGGCCAGGGCTGGGGAGGCCGAGCAGATCCCAAGAACGGTGGGTTCTGGAGGGCACGGCCCAGACCCAGGTCTGTGGATCCCAGAGACTCTTGGAACTTGGAGTCAGGGTGTTCCCAACCACAGCAAGAGGCACTGGAGGAGGCACATGGGAGGGCACGCAGGCTTTATTTTCCAAAAGTTTGACATTTACAATGCATTGGGGATAACGTAAGGTTATAAATAAAGCACATTCGTTCCTTTAGGTTATTTGCTATGGAAGTTCTGTGCAATATTAATGTCCCACGTCATCGCTTTCTGATACAACGGATGAATTACTATAGTGAAGAAAAACAGAAAAAATAGAAATTCACAATATGTTTAGTAGTAGCCAATTGCCTATTTTAAACCATATTTACTACTGAATTTCTACTTTATAATTGCTAAAAATCAAAGATTATTATAGATAAGTTTGGTTATCTATATTATAGATGTTACATTATCTATATTATAGATAAATTTGGTTCTTATCTATATTATAGGTAACTTATCTATATTATAAGGAGTCCAACTAAAAAGCTAAACATAAAATAAATGTATATGTTTTTGTACCTTAGCATTGATTTATAATTTACCAGGCAAACTATGAAATGACTATGTAAAAACAATCAAAATCCATTTATTCAGTTTTATACACTTTGTTTCTTAGAAAAACCTACAGCTTAGGGAGACAAAATAAAAGGTTAGTCTTTATTTTTTTCCCCATTAATATGAAGTTCACACATGAAAACAATAGAGTTAACATGGAAATAATTTTCATTTTATAGTTAATATTCAGGTTGCTGACTTTAATTTTTTCACAATTTCCTTATTCACTTTATAAAAATACTTTGTGTAGTAAAATACACATTCTAACCATTTTTAGTGTACAGTTCAGTAGTACTAAGTACATTCATATTGTGAAACTATCACCATCTGTCTCCAGAAACATTTTCATCTTGCAAAAGTGAAATTCTGTGCTCAGTAAAGAATAACTCCTCATTGAATAATATGTATTCAACAAAAACTTCCCATCCTCTGTGGCCCACAAACACAAGAAAATATGCTCAATATCACTAATCATTAGGGAAATGCAAATCAAAACCACAGTGAGATATCTCCTCACACCCATTAGGATGGCCAATATGTTTTTTAAAAAAAGCAGAAAATAACAATCCTAGTAAGAATATGGGCAAACTGGAACCCTTTTGGACTGTTGGTGGGAATGAAAAATTGTAAAACTACTGTGGAACACAGTATGGCAGTTCTCAAAAATATAAAAATAGAATTACCTAATTTCAATTTTTTTGCCAGACATGCTTAAGTTGTCCTTCTATGGAATACTCTTGCTTGTATACCTTTCATGCAATATTTAAAAACAAAATCAAATATTGATTGTCTTCTCCAGTTTGTAGAAGGAAACAAAATAAGGTTGGCTTTTTTACAATTCATTTTTCCACACTTCCTTCTAAACATAAAATATTTGTTTGACTTACAAACAATAATAACATAAAAAAATAACTTCCAAATAGCCAAGATTTTTATTTCACTGAAGTATTTACTTTTTAACCATGTGCTTTTCGTTGTGATATATGTTGTATGTCATATTTATTTAAATAGTCCTATACACCTTAAAGACTTTATTTTTTATATATTTTGTTAATTCACATGATAATTGATAATAATTAATACCTCAGGATTTATTGTGTTGCTATTAAAGAATAATGACTTTCTGACTCTCTATGACTTGAACACATTTCTGAAGTCTACTATACATCACTGAAGGCATGATAAATAATACAGTTACTCATGATTTTATTAAAATCTCTGTTCATCAGTCAAGTAATCAAAACAGGAAATACATGTTCATTATTTAAATTTCTTAATTTTCTTTGACTGGTTAGGATGGCTGCTTTTTTAAAAAAAAATGTGAATATATTGTTTGGATATTTGTCCTTGCCCAAATCTCATGCTGGATTATAATCCCCAGTGCTAGAGGTGGTGCCTGGTGGGAGGTGTTTGTATCATGGGGTGAATCTCCCATGGTTTGGTGCTGTCCTGGTAATAGTGAGTTCTTGCAAGATCTGGCCATTTCAAAGTGTGTGGTACCATCCTCACCTGACTCTCTCGCTTGCTCCTGCTTTTCTCTTGTGACATACCTTTTGCCCCTTCACCTTCTGCCATGATTGTAAGCTTCCTGAGGCCTCCCTAAAAGCTGAGCAGAAGCCAGCACCATGCTTCCTGTAAAGCCTGCAGAACTGTGAGCCGATTAAGTCCCTTTTCTTTATAAATTGACCTCAATTTCTCATATTTCTTTATAGCAATGCAAGAATGGCCTAACATAGAAAATTTGTACTAGCAGTGGGGCATTGCCATAAAGATACCTGAAAATCTGGAAGCAGTTTTGGAACTGGGTAATGGGTTGGGAGAGTTCGGAGGGCTCAGATAAAGACAGGAAGATGAGGGAACATTTGGAACTTCCTAGAGACTAGTTAAAATGACTGTGACCAAAAGGCTGACAGTGATATGGATAGTTAAGTCCAGGCTGCCAAGGTCTCAGAAGGAAATGAGGAACTTCTGGGAACTGGAACAAAGGTCATGTGTGTTACGCCTTGGCAGAGAGCTTGGCTGCATTTTGTTCATTCCCTAGGGATCTGTGGAAGCTTGAACTAAAGATGACCATATAGGATATCTGGCAGAGAAAATTTCTAAGCAGTAAAGTTTTCAAGATGTTGCCTGGCTGCTTCTAACAATCCATAATCAGATGGGGGAGCAAAGTAATGATTTAGAGTTGAAATTTATATTTAATCAGGAAGCAGAGCATAACAGTTTGAAAAATTTTCAGCCTAGCTTTGTAGCAAGAAAAAGCTTTGAAAGGAAAGCTTTGAAAGGAGAGGAATTCAAGTAGGCTGTGGAGCAACCACTTGCTAGAGATATTAACATAACTAAAAAGGAGCCAAGTGCTAATATCCAAGACAATGGGGAAAAGGACTTGAATACATTTCAGGGACCTTTGTAGCAGCTCTTTCCAAAATATAGGGATGCCATCCTTGTGTTCAAGTAGGTCAGAGGCTAATAGGAAACTAGACATATTGAAGAAATGTCATAGCTAGAAATAAATTATAAATTCATTTTTAGGATGTATACAACTTTCTCTGGGAATGCAGTTAAAATAATTTAGCTTTCTCTATCAAAAGTAACTACTTTTGGTAAAAGAATGTCACATTTGAGATTTAAGCTAATTGGGTAAGTAAATAAACTTTTTATGAAAGTAATATTAAATTATTCAAAAGTTTTAAGTGTGTGTTAATTTTGCATCTTAGAAAGATTTTGTAAGATGGTTGTCAAATAAAATTTATGGGAGGTTATTTTTGAGCTGAGTTCTTGCACTAGTCTCCAACAGAAGAAACTAAAATGGAGCCATTCACCCTAAGGTGCCATGTAACCAAACTGAAACTAAGTTGTTTATCTGACTTTCCAAGAAATCAGGAGAGAGATTAAAGCCTAATCCTTACCTGAAACTATAAAACTTCTAGCAGAAAATAGAGAGAAAGCTCCTTGCCATTGGTCTGGGCAATGATTTTATTGGGTATGTCACCAAAAGCACATGCGATAGAAGCAGAAATAAAGTGATTGCATTAAACTAAAAAGCTTTTGCATAGCAAAAGAAACAATCAATGAAATAAAAAGGCAGCCTATAGAATGAGACAAAGTATTTGCAAACTATATATCTGATAAAGGGTTTCATAATATCAAAAATATATATGGGTGGCCAGGCACCATGGCTCATGCCAGTAATCCCAGTACTTTGAGAGGCTGAGGCGGGAGGACCACTTGCGCTCAAGAGTTTAGACAAGCCTACGCAACATACGGAGACACTGTCTCTACAAATTATATATATACACACACACACACACAAATGTGTGTGTGTGTGTGTGTAGATCTCATACAAGTGAATAGCAAGAAAGCAAATAACCTGATTTAAAAATTGTCAAAGAAGCTTAATAGACATTTCTTCAAGAATACATACAATTGAATAACAGGTATATCAAAAGGTACTTAACATCACCAATAATCAGGAAAACATAAATGAAGACCACTATGAGATATTACTTTCCATTTAGAATGGCTTACTTTACATCTTAGGTTAACATAGTTGTTATTGAAAAAAGGGAAAAGAGAGCAAGGTTGGTAAAGACATGAAGAAAAAGAAACTCTTGTACAATGTTGGTGGAAATATAAATTGGTATAGCCATTATGGAAAACAGTATGACGGTTCTTCATAAATGAAAAATAGAACTACCATATGATGTGACAACCTCACTTCTGGGTATGAATTCAAAGGACTTGAAATCAGGACCTTGAAGAGATATCCGCACTTCCATGTTCATTGTAGCATTGTTCACAATAGCTATGATATGGTAACAACCTAAATGTCCATCATGGGTAAATAGATAAAGAAAATGTGCCAAATGTATGTAATGGAAGATTACTCATCCTTAACAATGAAGAAAATTCTCTTATTTGTTATCTCATGAATAGATGTAGAGGACATTATGCCAAGTGAAATATGCCAGACAAAATTTGTGTGAAATATGTCAGACAAAAGTTGCATGATCTTAACTATATGTGGACTCAAAAATAATCAAATTCATAGAAGCAGAGAGTAGAACAGTGGTTGCCAAGAGATGCGGGAGCAGAGAATGGGAAGGTGGTGGTTAAAGGGTACAAAGATTCAGTTATGCAAGATAAATTCTGGAGCTCTACTATACACCACAGTACCTATAGCTAACAATACTGTATTGTATACTTGATATTTGCTAAGAGGGTAGATCTATATCAAGTGTTCTTACCTTGGTAAAGCAACAACAATAATATAAAATTTGGGAGGAAACTTTGGGAGGTGATATATTTATGGCCTTGATGGTGATGATGGTTTAAAGGGGTATACTTATTTCCAAACTCATCAAGATGTATATATTAAGTATGTATACGTATTTGTATATCAATTATACTTCCGTGAAGTGGTATAAAACTGATAGAATAACTAGACAAAAAATCAGCAAGGATATAGAAGACTTAAACGATACCATCAACCACCTTGACCTACCTGTATTCTATAGAACTCCCCACCACGCAGTGGGTATTCACAATAGTAAATACACCTTCTATTCAAGTGTATTTGGAACAGTCTTCAGGACAGACTATATACTAGGCCTATAAAAATTCTCAAAAAATTTAAAAAATTTTAAATTTACAATGATTGAAATCAAATGAAGTATATTTTGTGATCAGAGCTCAACTAAGTTGAAAATTAACAAGGCAAAAATCCTGGGAAATCTATAAATATTTGGGAATTAAACAATATACTTCTAACTAATGTATGAGTCCAAGGGAAGAATTCACAAGAAAAAACAGAATATTTTGAACTGAATGGAAATGAAAATATATGCTATCAAAACGTATAGAATGCAGCTAAGCCTAAGGGAAAATTTACGGATTTAAATGCCTGTATCAGAAAAACAAAGATCTCAAAACAATCATGTAAGCATTGGCCTTACAACTACTAGAAAAAGAACTAGCCAATCCCCAAGCAAGGAAAAAAAAGTAGATAAGAAATATTAACCTGTAATTAATGAAATACAAAACTGAATAACACTAGCAAAAAATAATTATAACAAAAAGTTGGATCTTTTAAAATATCAGCAAAATTAACAAACCTTTAACCGGTCTGAACAAGAAAAAAAAGAAAATGCAAATAAACAAAATTAGGAATAAAGTATGATAATTCAATACTGACCCTACAGACATTAAAATGATTACAAGAAAATACTACGAATAACTTTGTGTAACAAATTATACAATTTTGAAGAAAGGGACATATTTTTGAATTCACAAGCTTCCAAACATGACTTAATAAAGAACAGAAAATCTGAACGGATTACAAGAACAAAGATATTAAAATGGTAAGTAAAACCAACACCAATGTGTAATGAGATCTAACTAGAAGGGCACTTAAAATAATTTACCAACTATATTCTTTTCTGACCTAGTAAGTCTTTGGTACAGCATAGGATACTCATCAGGAAAAGTTCTAGAACATTGAGAATTTTGGCTTGCCCCAATATAATAACAAATTATTGAAACACAAAATTATAAAGATACCACTTACATTAGATTTAAAATAGTATATTTAAGAATTAATATAACAAATGTTATATAAAATGCATGACACTGGTTAATGACTAGGATAATTAAACCTAATACATTGATTCTATATCATATTTACCGATTATACTCTGCATTCTCTCTGTTACATGATTTACTTATTTCATTTCTTTTAAAGATCACAGTGGTGAAAACTATGAAAAACGGCAGAAAAATGCAGAAACTCAGAATAAACCAGTTGTTCCAGTGTGTATTGTAGCCTTTTTCAGTATAAAAGTCACCTAGAAATGAATCATATGATAAATTAGTGGGGACTCAGTGGATATTTAAATAAATTTATATTTTTTCACTTAATCATATACGTGTATATATAATGAAGTTTTAATGCATTGCAAACTACTAGGAAAAATAGAACATAAATGCAAACTACAGTGCTATATTTTTCATAGATTTTCTGTTTATTTACACATATTTATTTAATATTAACCTGCTGTATACATGTTTAGAGTGCTGTTTGCTGCATTCAGCTTATTTGTAACATCAATACTTTACAAGTTAATACAGTAATAGGGATTAAGTTACAATTTTAAAAAATGTATACTTTGAGAAACCACCATCCCACTCGCTTGCCAAATCAGTTTTTTCCTTAGAGAAAACCATTTATAAATGACTCATTTCTCTCCATCTAGTGTTTATATTCTATGTATGTAAACAAAATTCATACTTATACCTATACTTGTATCCGCATCTATATCTATATATCTATACATAACATGTGCATCTGTGTGCATGTGTGTATGTGTATATCTTTCCACTCATTGACATTCTATAAGCATATTATTACCTTTGTTTTTTTAATACTTAAAAAGTTGAGATATCACACAATTCTGAGAAGTATACAATATGTAAATATATTAGCAAAATCAGCAATGAGTTAACTAAATGAATATGCACATACCCACTCTCCAGGTCTCAAAAAGGATCCTGTTATAATTCCAAAGCACTGCAGGACATTTCCTAATCCTTCTCCTCTCCAAACGTTACAATGATCATGGTTTGTTTAATTATTATTTATTTAGTGAAATTTATTGATGTATATAACATAGTAACAAAAATGTGTGCCATAAAGTTGTACTGCTCAAAAGACATTTACATTGAACAAGACCATGTAACCAGCAACAAATCTAGGAAACATAACTCCCCAACTTAGTTTACCAGACACTGTCTTTCCCAAAGAAAATCACTAATTTTGCCTCTAAGAGCATGAATCTTATTTCCCTTTCATTTTGGCTTGCTATTAATTTAGACACATTAACTATACTTGTATCTTTTCATGTTGTATACACTTTGAAAAATAGATTAAGGAGGTACAAGTGCAGTTTTGCTGCATGGATATATTGTGCAGTGGTGAAGTCTAGGCTTTTAGTGTACCTATCATCGGAATAGTGTACATTGTATTCAATAGGTAATTTTTCACCCTTCATATCTCTTTCACCTTCCAATGTTTTGGAGTCCCCAGTGTCTATTATTCCACTGTGAATGTTCATGTGTACCCATTGTTTAGCTCCCACTTATAAGTGAGCCAATGCAGTATTTGGCTTTCTGATTCTGAGTTATTTCACTTAGGTTAATGCCTCCAGTTCCATCCATGTTGCTGCAAAAGACATGGTTTTATTTTTTTATGGCTCAGTAGTATTCCATGATATATATATAAAGAAATATAAATATGTATTCATCAATGGACGACTGGATAAAAAACACACGGCATATATATATATATATATATATATATATATATATATATATATATACACACACACACACACACACACACACACGGTATAACCAACAAAGTAGGCAGACAACCTTATAGAATGAGAGGAGATATTTTATATATAAATAAATATATATGCACCATGTGTTCTTTATCCAGTCCTCCATTGATATATATATGATATCAATATATATTACATGATAAATATATATGTGTGTGCATATATATATAATGTGTTCTTTATCCAGTCCTCCACTGATGGACACTTAGGTTGATTCCATAACTTTGTTATTGTGACTAGTTCTGCAACGAACATATGATGTATAATGATTTCTCTTCTTTTGGGTAGCTAGCAAGTAGTAGGACTCCTGGATTGAGTGGTAGTTCTATTTTTAGTTCTTTAAGAAATCTTCATACTGTTTTCCATGGTTATAGTACTAATGTACATTTCCACCAGCAGTATAAAAGTGTTCCCTTTTCTCCACATCTTCACCTACATCTGTTGTTTTATGACTTTTGAATACTAACCATCCTGATAACATAACTCATTGTAGTTTTAATTTGCATTTCTCTGATGATTAGTGATGCTGATCATTTCTTCATATGTTTTTTGGCCTCTTGGATGTCTTCTTTTGTAAAGTGTCTGTTCATGTCTTTTGCCATTTTTTTGATGGGGTTGTTTATATTTTTTCTTTTGGAGTTTTAGTTCCTTATAGACTCTGGATAACAGTACTTTGTTGATATATAGTTTGCAAATATTTTCCCTCATTCTGTAGGTTGTCCACTTACTTTGTTGATTATTAGTTTTTCTTTGCAGATGCTTTTTAGGTTAATTAAGAAGCCCCATTTGTCCATTTTTACTTTCGTTGCATTTGTTTTTGAGGTCTTTGAGTCATAAATTATTTGCCTATACCAATGTCCAGAAAAGGTTTTCAGTAAGAACTTTTATACTTTCAAGTCTTACATTTAAGTTGTTAACCTGTCTTGAGTTAATTCTTGTATATGTTGAAATACATAGATTTTTTCTTCTGCATGTGGCTATCCAACTTTCTCAGCACCATTTATTGAATAGGGTGAGTGTGGATCATTTTTGACAGATTTTAAATGTTATATAAATGGAATTATACTGCATGCACATTGTTTTCTGACTTTGTTCATTATTACTGACTTTTGAAATTCACAGATGTTGTTGCTTATAGTTGCAAAATGTTTATTCTAATTGATGCATACTATACCTTTGCATAGAAATAGCAGGTATTAATTTCTGATATTCTGACAGACATTTGGGTAGTTTGAAATTTGGGGTATTATGAATAGTGCTGCTGTGAATATTCTACAGCATGTCTTTTGGTCAACATTATGTTTGAAAATCAGATATATGCATACACGGGAAGTGTCAATGCTTGCATATTCCCACATTGAACATTAGTAAATATTTCCAGTGATTTTCCTAAGTGGTTGTATCCATTATATTCCTATTAGTAGTAAATGAGTGTCTTCATTTTTGCTTATCTTTGGTATTTTTCTTCTTTTCATAGTTATTCCTCATATAAAATGAAATGCAAACACCACTGTACAGTTGGATGAAAGCTCACAAATGTAAACCCCATGAGGCAAATATTTTAAATATTTTTTGTTTTGATGTGTTAGTTTTTTCATTTAATATAAAGTGTTTCTAATATTTTATTTGATAAAGAATGGGTTTAACTAGTGCCCGAGAGTTGGCAACAAAATAGTGTAAATTCTTTTATAAATTATTTTAATTTTGTTATTTTAACAGCTTTACTGAGAGATGATTGACATGAAATAAATGCCCACACTTTAAGTGCATAATTTGATAGGTTTTGTTATTTGTGTACCGCCATGAAACCATAAAAATGCAAACAATGCATATATCCATAATCCATACACATTTCCCAAGCCCATTGATCCTGCCATGTTGCTACTCCCCACACAGGCAGTCACTAATCTGGTCTGCATTCTTTCATTATAAATTAGCTTTCATTTTTTATACTTATATATAAATAGAACAAGACTGTATGTATTCTTTGTAGTCTAACATGTTTCATTTAGCATAAATGTTGAGATTCATCCATATTGGTGTATATAACAACAGTTTATTTCTTTTTATTATTTGATAGTATTCCACTGTATTGAGAGACTACACATTGTTTAGCCATCATCTGTTGATTTATATTTACATTGTTTCCAGATGTTATCTATTACAAAAATTGTTACTATATAGATTTTGACTTATATTTACATTGTTACCAGATTTTATCTATTACAAAAATTGTTACTATATACATTTATATGGAAGGCTTTGTATGGGCATCAGCATTCTATTCTACTGGGTAAATTGTATAATAGCTGATTTATGTGATTTGTATTTACCTCCTTAAGAATCTCTGAAACTATAAATTTTGTTTTAAATATCAGTGTTTTAAATATCAGTATATGGTTCCTACCCTCACATCTTGGCCAAAGTTAATGTGGTCAGCCCTTTTAAATGTAAACAATTTTTAAAGGAATGAGTAGCATCTATTTGTGATTTTAATTTGCATTTCTCCAATGACCTATGTTGTTGGGCGTCTTTACATGTGCTTATTTTGCCCCCCTTTTTTATAGAGTTGGTTTTTTAAATTAAGTTTCAAGGATTCACTATATATTCTGAATACAAATACTTTATCAGGTATATATTTTACAAATATTTGTTAAGGGGCAGTGGCTTGCCCTTTTATTCCCCTAACAGTGGCTTTTGAATAGCAAAAGTCCTAATTTTTTTATGTTGTCCAACTTATCACATTTTGGGGTCATATTTTTGGTGTCATATCTACAAAATCTGCGCTCAAAGTCCCTGAGGATTTCTCTTATGTTTTCTTCTAGAAGTTTTAAATTTTGGTCTGTAATCAACTTTGAGTTAATTTTTGAACATGGTGTGAAATACAGCTCTAAGTTTATCTTTTTTACATATAAATATATAATTATTCTAGCACAATTTGTTTAAAAAGCTAAAGTTTATCCATTGTATTGCTTTGAACATTTATTAGAAATCCATTTTCCATATATTTGCATGTCTATTTCTGGTTTCTTATTCTATTTTACTGACCTGTATGTCTGTTAATGACAGTACCACGCTGACTTGATAACTGTAGCTTTATAGTGAGTTTCAATATTGGGCAGTGTATTTCCTCCAACATTTTTTTTTCAAAGTCATTTTAACTATTCTTGGTCCTTTGAGTTTTACAATAAGGTTTACAATCAGCTTATCACCTTCTGCAAAAGAGCCTGATGGATGATTTTGACAGAAATTTTCTTATATGGATAAACAAATTTAGAGATTTCTGCTCTTTTAACAATAGTGAATCTTTTGATCTATGAAAATTGCATGCCTCTCCATTTATTTAAATCTTCTTTAATTTATCTCAGTAATGACTTGGAGTTTCCAGTGCACAATCTCACATTTTCTGGCTAAATTTATTTGCAAGTATTTTATTTTCTGATGCTATTTTTTGTGAAATTTTTTATTTTCTTTTGTGTAGGAAGAGCACCTACCTAACGAGAGATCTAGATTGTTAGAGTTTTAAGTGTACTTATTGTTGACTATAGCTACAATGTTGTACAGCAGATCTCTAGATCTTACTCATCTTGCTTCACTGACACTTTATGCCCATTAATTTGTAATTTTCCACCCCATCATACTACCACCCCAACAACCACCATTCTATTCTTTAATTATATGAATATGACTATATTAGGTACTTCACATACGTGGAACTGTGGAACATTTGTCTTTCTCTGACAGCTTATTTCACTTAGCATCATGTACTCAAGATTTATTCATGTCACTGCATATTGCAGAATTTTCATTTTAAAGGCTGAGTAGTCCTTCATTACATGTATATGCCACACTTCCTTTACCCACACATTATTGATGAACATTTAGGTAGTTTCCACATCTTGAGTATTGTGAATAGTGCTATGATGGATACAAAATTGTTAATTTTGGGATGCTAATTTTAATTTCTTTAAATATGTCTCCATTGGTGGGATGGCTGGATCATATGACAGTTCTATTTTCAATTTTTGAGGAACCTCCATACTGTTTTTCATAACAGCTGCACCATTTTATATCCTTACCAACAGTATGCAAGGGTCCCAAGTTCTTCACATCCTTTATTTGTTGAAAAATAATAGTCATCCTGACAGGTATGAGGTGATATCTCATCATGGTTCTGATTTTTATTTCCTTGATGATTAGTGTTATTTGCATATTTTTTCACATACCTGTTGGCCATTTGTGTGTTTTCTTGAAGCAATGTCTACTCAAGTCAACCCATTTTTTAAACAAGTTATAAGGTATTTTGTTCTTTGTTTGTTTTCACTATTAGGTCATAGGGATTTCTTATATATTCTTATATATTTTGGATATTAACTCTTTATCAGATACATGGTTTGCAAATATTTTCTCCCACTCAATAGGTTTCACTCTGTTGATTGTTTCATTTGCTGTATAGAGCTTTATAGTTTGATATAGTCCCACAATGAAATCATTGCCAAGATCAATGTAATGAATCTTTTCTCTCATGCTTTCTTCTAGGAGTTTTACATATATAGGTCACATTTTTCTTTAATTCATTTTGAGTCCATCTGTATGTATGGTGTAAGATAAGAATCCAACTCATTCTTTTGTAAAGACTTTCTCAAACATACCAAAATTAAGGGAATCCATCACCAATAGATTTACCTTACCAAAAAATTCTAGAGGGAGTTCTTCCGGTTGAAATGAAAAGATGCTAAACAGCAAAATGTCAGGATAAAAAATTATAAAACTAGTTGGCAAAGATAAATATAGAGACAAAAATAGAATACAGTGTTGCTGTAATGGTGATGAGTAAATCACTTTTAATTTTACTGTAAAAGTTAAAAGACAAAAGTATTAAAAATAACTATAAAAATACGTTACAAGATACACAATATGAATAGATGTGAATTGTGACAACAATAACACAGAGTGGAGGAGGGTGTAAATGTGTAGTTTTTTTATGTGATTGAGCTTAGATTGTTAATGGCTTAAAATGGACTTTATAAGTTACTTTATATGAGCCACAAGTAGCTAATCACAGACACGCAACACACAACTATACAAATTTCACACACACAAAAAGAGTAATCAAAGCAAATAAATACAAGATATTCCATGCAAATACATACATAAATAAAAATATTCCATGCAAATGCCAAAATGGAGCATAAGTGGTCAGACTTATATCAGACAAAATAGACTGTCAAAAAGTGTCACAGTAGACAAAGTCTTTATGTTATGATAAAACAGTCAATGCACCAGAAAGGTATGACATCTGAGCACCCAACATCTGACCACATAAGTATATAAAGCAAACAGTGACTGAACTAAACGGAGAAATAGATATCAATACAATGATGGTAGGAGACTTCAATGTCACATGTTCAATAATATATAAAATATCCCAACAGAAGATCAATAAGAAAACAGAGAGTTTGAATCATACTAAACACCAAATGGACCTAACATACATACACGAAATATTCCACTCAACAGCAGCAAAATGCGTGTTGCTCTCAAGTTCACACAGCTCTTTCTCCAGGACAGATCAAATGTTATATCATAAAAATAAAAGTTAACAAATTTAAGAAGATTGAAATCAGAATAAGTATCTTCTCAGATCACAAGGGGATGTAAGTAGAAATCAATAGCAAAAGGAAAACTTGAAAATTTACAGAATGTGGGAATGAAACAAAACACTAGTGAACAATCTTTGTGTCAAAGAAGAAAACAAAATGGAAACAAATACCTCAAGACAAATGAATATGAATATGCAACATGCCAAAAATTATGGGCTGCAGCAAAAGCAGCACTAACAGGGAGGTTCATGGTGATTAACACTTGCATTTTAAAAAATGAGAGAGAAAGATTTCAAATAAACAACCTAACATTACCCTTCAAAGAACTAGAAAGAGAAAAATGAACTTTGCCCAAAATTAGCAGAAAAAAAATAGCAAGTATTAGAGCAGAAATAAATGAAATAGAAAACAGAAAAACAAACAAACAAAAATCAGTGAAACTAAAAGCTGTTTTTAAAATGGCAAACAAAATTGATAAAACATTACCTAGAAAAAAGAGAGAGAGAAAATGCAAATAAATAAAATCAGGAATGAAAGGAGAGACATAAAATCTGAACAATTATGAGAAATTGATGAGAGACATTGGTCTGTAGTTTCCCGTCCTCGTGAAGTCTTCTGGTTTTGCTACTGGGGGCGATGCTGGCATTATCGAATGAGTTAGGAAGTCACACCCCTGCTTCTATTTCCTCAAAGGTATTGCAGAGAATTAGCGTAATTTCTTACTTAAATGTTTGGTTATATTCACCGGTGGCTATATCTGGGCCTGACAGCTTATTTAACGGAAGGGTTTTAATTATTGATTTAATTCTTTTAGTATGTATAGGCCTATTAGAATTATCTGTTTCATCTTGTGTGAGTTTTGTTTTATTGTGTTGTTCAATGAATTGTTTTTTTATAAAGATTATAAAATATTTGAGAATAGGGTTATTTACAATATTTCTCTATTACCGCTTACATGTTCATTTGATCAGCAGTTAGCCTTCTTTCATTTTCATACTAATAAGTTATGTCTTTTTTCCATTTTTCTTGGTATGGCCAGAGGTTTATCAATGTAACTGATGTTTTCAAAGAACCAGTCTTTCATTGATTTTCCTTTATTGATTTGCTTTTTTTTTTCTATTTTATCAATTTTTACTGTACTGTTTTCTTTTCTTTATTTTGGATTTACTTTAACCTTCTTTCCCTAGTTTGCTAAGGTGAAAGCTTAAATTTCTGACTTTAGATATTATATACGCATTCCATGCTGTGCATTTTTCTGTAAGTTTTGCATTTGATGGGTCTCACAAATTTTGATAGGTTGTATTTCATTTTTATTTAGTTCAAAATTATTTTAAAATTTCTCTTGAGACTACTTTAACCCATGTGTTATTTGTGAATTTGTTGCTTAATCTCCAAGTATTTTAGGGCTTTACAGTTCTCTTTTTGTTACTGATTTCTAGTTCAATTTCATTTTGGTCTCAGAACATACATAGTAGGATTTCATTGCTTAGGCTTGTTAAGGTACATTGTAAGACAAAGAATTTGATCTACAATTGAGAATGTTCTGTGTGGTCTTGAGAATAATGTTTATTCTGCTCTCATTGTATGGAATATTCTCTAAATATAACTAGATCAAGTTGACTGATCATGGTATTAAGGTCAATTATATACAGTAAATTCTCACTTAACATTGTCTGTCTGCAAGTTCTTGGAAAATGCAACTTTAAGTGAAACAATATGAGCAGGTCCTCAAAGAAAAAATTGTTTTTTCAACAATGTTTCATTATAATATTGATGAGAAAAGATGGTTTCATTGTATGTCCTTTCATTTCAAGTCACAGTTTTGAAGAACTTGATGGAATTAAGTGAGGACTTACTATACTTACTGATTTTCTACATGTTGATGTGTCAATTACTAAGAGAAGGGAGTTAGACTAGTCAACTCTTATAGAGGATTTTTCTATTTGTCCTAGAAGTTCTATCAATCAGATTTTGCCTCATTTATTTTGATACTGGTGTTACACACACACAAAGATCTTTCTCCAATTTTTTACTTTTAATTTACCTGTGTCTTTACATTTAAAGGGTGCTTCTTGTAGACAACATAGAGTTTGGTCTTGTTTATTAAATTTCTTCTGATATACTCTGACAGTCTCTGTCTTTTTTTATTGTTACTATACTTTAAGTTCTAGGGTACATGTGCACAACATGCAGGTTTGATACATAGGTATGCATGTGCTATGTTGGTTTGCTGCACCCATCAACTCATCATTTACATTAGGTATTTCTCCTAATGCTATCCCTCACCCAGTCCCCCATCTCCCAACAGGCCCTGGTGTGTGATGTTCCCTGCCCTGCAACCAAGTGATCTCATTGTTCACTTCCCACCTATGAGTGAGAACATGCAGTGCTTGGTTTTCTGTCCTGTGATAGTTTGCTCAGAATGATGGTTTCCAGCTTCATCCATGTCCCGGCAAAGGACATGAACTCATCCTTTTTTATGGGTGCATAGTATTCCATGGTGTACATGTGCCACGGTTTCTTAATCCAGTCTATCATTGATGGACATTTGGGTTGGTTCCAAGTCTTTGCTATTGTGAATAGTGCCACAATAAACATATGTGTGCATGTGTCTTTATAGTAGCATGATTTATAATCCTTTGGGTATATACCCAGTAATGGGATGGCTGGGTCAAATGGTAATTCTAGATCTAGATCCTTGAGGAATCGCCACACTGACTTCCACAATGGTTGAACTAATTTATGCTCCCACCAAAAGTGTAAAAGCGTTCTATTTCTCCACATCCTCTCCAGCATCTGTTGTTTCCTGACTTTTTAATGATTGCCATTCTAACTGGTGTGAGATGATATCTCATTTTGGTTTTGATTTGCATTTCTCTGATGGCCAGTGATGATGAGCATTTTTTCATGTGTTTTTTGGCTGCATAAATGGCTTCTTTTGAGAAGTGTCTATTGATATCCTTTGCCCACTTTTTGATGGGGTTGTTTGTTTTTTTCTTGTAAATTTGTTTGTGTTCTTTGTAGATTCTGGATATTAGCACTTTGTCAGAAGGGTAGACTGCAAAAATTTCCTCCCATTCTGTAGGTTGCCTGTTCACCTGGATGGTAGTTTCTTTTGCCATGCAGAAGCTCTTTAGTTTAATTAGATCCAATTTGTCTATTTTGGCTTTTGTTGCCATTGCTTTTCGTGTTTTAGTCGTGAAGTCCTTGCCCATGCCTATGTCCTGAATGGTATTGCCTAGGTTTTCTTCTAGGCTTTTTATGGTTTTAGGTCTAACATTTAAGTATTTAATCCATTTTGAATTAATTTTTGTGTAAGGTGTAAGGAAGGGATCCAGTTTCAGTTTTCTACATGCGACTAGCCAGTTTTCCCAGCACCGTTTATTAAATAGTGAATCCTTTCCCCATTTCTTGTTTTTGTCAGGTTTGTCAAAGATCAGATGGTTGTAGATGTGTGGTGTTATTTCTGAAGTTTCTGTTGTGTTCCATTGGTCTATATATCTGTTTTGGTACCAGTACCATGCTCTTTTGGTTACTGTAACCTTGTAGTATGGTTGGAAGTCAGGGAGGGTGATGCCTCCAGCTTTGTTCATTTTGCTTAGGATTGTCTTGGCAATGTGGGCTCTTTTTTGGTTCCATATGAAATTTAAAGTAGTTTTTTCCAATTCTGTGAAGAAACTCATTGGTAGCTTGATGGGGATGGCATTGAATCTACAAATTACTTTGGGCAGTATGGCCATTTTCACGATACTGATTCTTCCTATTCATGAGCATGGACTGTTCTTCCATTTCTTTGTATCCTCTTTTATTTTATTGAGCAGTGGTTTGTAGTTCTTCTTGCAGATGCCCTTTACATCCCTTGTAAGTTGGATTCCTGGTATTTTATTCTCTTTGAAGCAATTGTGAATGGGAGTTCACTCATGATTTGGCGCTCTGTTTGTCTGTTATTGTATAGGAATGCTTGTGATTTTTGCACATTGATTTTGTATCCTGAGACTTTGCTGAAATTGCTTATCAGCTTAAGGCAATTTTTGGCTGAGACAATGGGGTTTTCTAAATATACAATCATGTCATCTGCAAACAGGGACAATTTGACTTCCTCTTTCCCTAATTGAATACCCTTTATTTCTTTATCTTGCCTGATTGCCCTGACCAGAACTTCCAACACTATGTTGAATAGGAGTGGTGAGAGAGGGCATCCTTATCTTGTGCCAGTTTTCAAAGGGAATGCTTCCAGTTTTTGCCCATTTGGTATGATATTGGCTGTGGATTTGTCATAAATAGCTCTTATTGTTTTGTGATACATTCCATCAATACCTAGTTTATTGAGAGTTTTTAGCATGAAGGGCTGTTGAATTTTATCAAAGGCCTTTTCTGTATCTATTGAGATAATCGTGGTTTTTGTCATTGGTTCTGTTTATGGGATGGATATTAACATTGAACGTGATTATTGATATATTTGAATTAATATCTATTGTTTTATTGTTTTAGCCCTTGCTATTTATTGCCCTTGTTTTTCTTATCTTTTATCTTTCACTGTTTTTTTCTCGGGGGGGGGCCTTCTCTGATTTTAGTTGACCATTTTATATTATTCCATGTTATACTTCATTTTTAATATTTTTTAGTGCTTGCGCCAGTGTTCAGTGCCCTGAATTTGTCCTGTTTGCAGTTCATTAAGCTTCTTGGATTTGTATATTTATGATTTTCATAAAATTTTAAAAGTTTTGGGGCATTATGTCTTCAAATAGTCCTTCTCTCTCTTTCTTTCATTATTCTCTCCATATGGTACTCACAAAATGAGAATGTTGTTCCACTTGGTAGTGGTCTTCAGGTCTCTTGGGCCCTGATCAAATCTCTCCATTCTTTTTGCTTTCTGGTCCTCAGATTCAACCATTTCAATTGTTCTGCCTACAAGTTTACTGCTTCTTTTTTCTCTCTGCCCAAATTCACTTTTAAACCCTTGTAGTGAATTTTTAATTTTAGTTATTGTACCATTCAGCTCCAGAATTTGTTCAGTTCCATTTAGTAATTTCTATCTCTATTGATATTCTCATTTTGTCCATACATGTTTTTCTTGATTTTCTTTAGTTCTCTGTCCATGTTTTCCTTTAGGTGTTTGAGTACATTTTAAAGCCGTTGTAAGTCTGATTTTTGAGCTTCCTCAGGGATGATTTCTGTCAATTAATTTTGTTCCCGTGAATAGGTCATGCTTTCCTTTTCCTTTTTAAGCCTTGTGAATTTTCATTGTTGTTGAAAATTGGCTATTTGACTGTCATAACAAGGAAACTCTGATTATCTCCTCATCTACCTTACTCAGGGTTTGCCAGTTTCTTGATTTTTGAAGACTTAATTAGTTCATTTGTTTAGTGACTTACCAGGCTATTTTTGCAAAGACTGTATTTTTTGGCTTTGTAGTCACTGAAGTCTGACTCCCAGAGTTTTTGTTCAGGTAATGTTTTGACAGTGACTTTTTGGAAAACAGGAGCTAATTTTTAATACTAATAATAAGTACATAGCCAAAAAACAAAGGAAACAAGCACAAACAAAATAACTCTTAACTCTTCTATTCAGTGCAGGCTGAGTCTGTGCTGGAGCACTGCTTTTACACTGAGCCAGACTTTCGCTGAGCCTAGGAATTAGCCTCAGGTGACAGCTCATTATCTTCTTTGATATTTTCTAGCATGAATCTTGCAATAATCATGCATATGGCATTCTAAATTTTCCATATATCCACGTAATTTTGAATTTCCTTGTTAAATTCCTAGTTATTTTCTGCTCTGTCATTTGTTCTAAACATACTTGTTATATCAGCCTAGCAGGATAGTTAGTCCTCCATGTTCTCCTGACAACATAACTGCCAGTGTAATCAACAATACTCCAACAAATATAGTAATTCCCTTTTTCCTCCCACCCCACCCTGAAGCAGCAAACCTAATGGCTTTCAAATATAGCTTCATCCTAGTTGAACTACCATGTTGACGAAGTTGGGTCAGGCTAGTCTAAGGTAAGAAATCAGTCTAGGGTAAAAAAGCCTGGACTTGCAGCCTTGTTAACAGAAGTAGTTTTCATGAACAAAAGTTTATTTATATTTATCTTGCCTGAGATTCACTTAGCTTCTTGGATACAAGTACTGACTTTCTTCAACTTGTTGAGAAAATTTGGAGTCATTATTTTTTCAAATGTCTTTTCTGTACATTCTTTCTCATTTTTTATCTGAATTACCCTTTAAGTATATACAAGAAAAATATATATTGCCTTAGAAACATGTAACTCATTTCATCTATTTTTCCTTTCTCAAATGTCAGAATTGTTTACTTGTTGACAAATACCTCATACAATTTTCTAGAATTATTCTGTCACAGCCAAAAAAGGAAGTCCTTATTGCTGTTCCTTTTAATCTTCTTTTTCAGAGATTAATAATCTCAGAGATGTTTCTGAATCACTGTTGCTTACAGAAGTTATCTCCAGTGTTTTTATCTCATCTCACTCTACACAACTGTATCATCCCATGAGTTACTTTGATTAGCTAAACAACCTATAAACTAAGTATGACCATTCCCTGATACCCTTAACGACACCAGCATCAAACACGCAGTGATATTGTCACATTAATTTTCCCACAGATAACTAAACCTCTGTCTATCCAAACTTAAATGCATTATTTTCATGCTCTGTTCATTCTCTGATATTTTCATGCAAACTTTTTATAACTGTGCATACATAAAACACATTGATCAACATGCCTTTATTCATTGTTATTCACAAAAATTGATATTATGTAGCAACTTATTTTTCCTTTTATTGTTTACTTTGGGACCTTAAAATTAAAGCTACTGCTTTCCAGTAATTTTCATTCATTAAGACTCACATCACCAAACCTATTTACCACATTGCTGCCTGGGTGGACTTTATAAAATGTGAATCTCAATTTTATTGCCTCACCAGACACCCAATAACATGTCTGTGGAGGGAATGTATGAATGAATGAATAATTGAATCAATAAGTAGCCTATGATATTGACAGAGATGGGAGGCAGAGAAATTTTAGGCAGAAAAAGGCAGGTCCCCAACTAAGGCTGAACCTCAAGCTGAAAAGCCTGAGACTGCAGCCCAAAGTGAGAACTAATATCCCTGTTTTCTCACTTGAATGTTGCCTTTTCCTAAACCACCCATGGTCCTATTCCACCCCCATCCTGTGCCTATAAAGACCCCAGACTCAGCTGGCACAGAGGAGAAGCAGCTGGACGTCAGGGACTATGGCTTGACATTGAAGAGAAGTGGCTTGATTTCAGAAGGACAGCTTGATGGCATAACTTCAGAGAAGAATCTGGCTGGAGATGGCTGGACTTCAAGAGAAGATTACCTTCCCACCCCATCCCCTTTTCGGCTCCCCTTCCCACTGAGAGCCACTTTCATCAGCAATAAAATCCCCTGCATTTACCATACTTCAATTTGCTCACATGACTTCATTTTTCCTGGACACCAGACAAGAGCTCGGGAGCCATGAGTGCGGATGCAAAAGACTGTCACACTGGCTCTTTGCCCTTGCTGGCAGAGAGCTACCACCTCACATGAAAAGGAAGAGGGCCCACTGAGCTGTTCACAGTTGTTAGCAGATGGCAGAGCTAAAGGAGCACTGTAACATGCCCTCTGGAGCTTCAAGGGTCACTGGAACCTCTCCAGATGCGGGCGCAGGGCCCGCACTGTGTTTGCTCCTGCCAATGCTCAAAAGTGCTCACCTTGGCCCCTGCACCTTGGCCCCTGCACCCTGCACCTGTGTTCTCCCTCCTTCAAGGGTTGGAACACATCAGGTCCCAGTGAGTGGAGTTTGCCACTGCTGGCACTGAAGCAGCCAGCTGGTTCCAGTGCTCATGCACTCCAGTTCCCACCTCATTCACTCACACACTCCCTCCTGCAAGGAGTTGAGAACTGCAGGTTGTGCAAATGAGGCACCCCTGTCACAGGTCCCAAGAAGGGGTCAGGGAACTATCCTGTTTCAATATTGCCTTCATTTATAGAAACAAATAAAGCATAAATGTTATGCCATCACTCAAAATGTGATTGATTTTACTATCCTTTCTTAAAGAAATGCATTTATATTTTGCCATGTTTTTCCAGAGTTCATTGAGAATAAATACTGTATGGTACAGTTGTTTTTTAACAGCCTACAGAGTTTGTAATAATATGGAATGAAAATCATTTGTTTAGTTTTTATAATTCTATATGAGATTTTAAAAATTTTGTTGAATGACATTTGTTGAAACTTATTAGTACTGTGTTCTAACTTATTTGAGTTAATTGAAGCTGAATATCTCTGAGAATATCTGATTATAAATACTGTGTAAGATTACAGTAGTCACTCCCCCTTATCTACAGTTTTGGTTGCACAGTAACAACCATGGGCAACCACTGTCTGAAAATATTAAATGAAAAATTCCAGAAATCAACAATTCATAAGTTTTAAACTGCATGCTGTTCTGGGTAGCATGATGAAATCTCCCATCATTCCTTTCTGTCTCACCCAGGACCTGAATCATTCCCAAGTCCAACGAATACATGCCGTATATGCTACCTGTCCATTAGTCACTTTGCCATCTTGGTTATCAGGTTGACTGTTACGCCGTTACAGTGCTTTGTTCAAATCACCCTTATTTTACTTCATCATGATCCCAAAGGGCAAGATTAGTGAGGTCATCAATTTGTATATGCCAAAGAGAAGCCAAAAATTCTTTCCTTAAGGAAAAGGGTGAATACTCTTGACTTCATAAGGAAAATATATTAATACATACATATTCCAAATATATGTAAGAAAAAATGTATATGTATACTTACAAATGTATGTGTATAATTATAAATATTTTAATATTTAAATAAACTTGTATGTTTATATTTACAAATGTCAACATTTGACAAAATATACATACAAAATATACATACATACATATTTTCCTTAATAAGGAAACTATTCATTGCTAAGATCTATGGTTAAAACAAATCTTCAGTTCATAAAATTGTAAAGAAGGAGAAAGAAATCTGCACCGGTTTTGCAGATGTATCTCAAACTACAAAAGTTAAGACTGCAGTGCATGATAAATGCTTAGTTAAGACAGAAAAGACGTTAAATTTGTAAGTAGAAGACATGAACAGAACATGTGTTCTGATTAACAGCAACGTGTTGCACCAGAAGACATTTGAACCTGTAGAAATACTTCAGCATGGAATTCCCTGAAATGAGTGAGCCATTTATTGCAAGTAAGAGATGGTTACACAGATTCAGGAATAGGTTTGGACTGAAAAACAGAAAAATTGCTGGAGAGGCTGTGTCTCCTGATGAAAAATCAGCTGCCACAGTCTTCTGGAAGACCAGTAGAACCTTCAGTAATGAAAGTGCAAAGGAGACGCCATGGCATAAAACATGGAAGGACAGTTAATCATTGCTGTTACTGAGCCTGATTGATGATCTTTATCATAGATATGTATATGTAGGAAAAAGCATAGTACATTTAGAGCTTGGTGCTATCTACAGTTTCAGGCATCCACTGAGGGTTTTAGAATGTATCCCCCACAAATAAGGAGGGACTGCTGCAATGTAGATGAAGCTACCATTCAAGATGACTTAGATTTGTTTAATTAACTTTATATAAAACAACCTTCTATTTTGCTTTAGAAAACAAATTTCCACTTACCAGATTTCTGAAAATTTCCATCATCAATACTACCCCCTGGGGAACCAAACTGGAATTTACAATCTGGAGGTCTATGTCCAGGGAAGCATTGACAATTACCAAAATTATTACATATCTGAAACAGAAAAATACAGAAACAGTTTGAGTCGTCTTAGTCTTTGTATCTGATACAAGGTCTTTGTATCTGATATAAATAACTAAATTTCATAGAATAATTATTTTTTCTTAAGATTATTATGACTATATAATGTGAGAAATAGGTTAGAAAAAGTGGTAAAAATTTTGACAACATAATGGCCAAATGGGAAAATACCTACATGAAAGTTTATTTCTGGCCTCTATACATTGAGCATTAATGTCTTCTTCAATCGTCTTTAAAAAATAAGATTTAATAAAGTTGTAGTCTTCATATTCAGAGAGGTTAAATTTTTTAAATGACTGTTATTTAGTAATTTGGAAACATTCGTTGTCACTATTTGGACATTTTCTATTCATGCACTTCAATGTCTATAGAAAGCATTGTGATAAAATAAATATCAATTGATTGGCCACTTTAATTCCTTATCCTAGCCCCTTTTCAACATTTGACATTATTGGTCAATAATGTGCATTTTATTTTTAAGTAATTATATTTTCCATAATAAAATAACATACGTGCAAAGCAAATATTATAAATCAACAATCAAATACAACTTTATGATAAGATTCCATTGCTAGAAGTTAACATTTGACAATGTTTCTGTATTATTCATGCCTTTGTATTAATATTTCTACAGTTTAGTATTTTCATTTTAAAATAAAACAAGTAAGTACATATTTTGTAAAATTCAAACAATAAAAGTGTATAGAACTGAAATTCCTCAACCACTATTTAAGTCCCATTTCCAACTGCTAAAGATGTTGTGTTTCATTCATATATATCAAATGCATTTATAAATACACGTACTCACATCCACAAACACACATATACATTAATAGATTTTTACCAAATAATATCCATAACAATATACTATGAACTTCTTCTCATACCTGTATGTATAAAGACATCACAGGCACATTTTTAAAATTAGACTCATAATATTCAGTAGTGTAAGTATTCCCTGTAATTTTCCTATAGATATTGTGTCCTTTCCGTTTATACTCATTTTGCTAAATTGTTTATATAGTATATTGAAATTGATTACCTCTTTTCTACATATCAAAAGAGATTTCAATAAAGTGAGTTTGAATTATAGCCCTGAATTCCATGAAGTAGTATTCTATTTTATATATCCATGTTTTTGTTGTTGAATATTTAGTGCACAGTATTTTAATATTAGAATCAGAATATCACTTATGCATTTTTTTAGATGGGGTCTTGCTTTGTTGCCCAGGCTGGTCTTGAACTCCTGGGCTCAAGTAATCCTCCTGCATCAGCTTCTCAAATTGCTAGGATTACAGGAGTGATCTGGCCTTATGCATCTTTTTAACTTATTCCACAACTGTAATCCTCTTCTGAATTAATTTACATTTATTTAAATACCTGAAGACAACAAAGGATCTCATTATTTTATTTTGCTAACTTTAAAAGAAACAGCCAGAGCAAAGCAACTTTAACAAAAGATGAAGAAAAATGTGATATTTTGGAGATTACGTAACAATTGGCTTTCAAAGAGAAAAAAGAAAAACAAGCACAAACCTGGCAATAATTCTAAGAACACACACACACAAAAGATAACCTTACAATATTCTGTACAGTGTAAAGAGACTAAATATAGCATCAGACTCTTCCCTGATAAGACTAAAAGCAACTGTATAGTAGAACAGAGTTTCAAAGTTTGAAGGTAAACCAAAATATGATAATTCTTAAACAACAAAAGTGTCATTTATATGGAAGACCATCATTTTTGCATTTTGATATCAATATCTCTGAATGCATTTTTCTCACATATATATTTTCCTCTATATTTTGACAAAGTGTTATTCCAGTTCCCCACCCCTCCAATGAAAGTACAAGGACATGACAGAACATTTGATCTAGGATAGCAAATCTAAATATATTATACTTTTAACTGTAACATAATTAAAACACAGAATTAACATAATGCATATAATCCCTTATAATATCAGGAACTTCAAGTCCAAAATTTCCCAAAAACCACAAATGTTAGAGGTTTAAGGTAAAGGGTAGGTACAAACGCAAAAATGGTCACTCCTTAACTGCATGTGCAAGGAGAAATAGGTTTTATTTAAGCTGGGCATAGAAATAGACAAATAAGGAAAAATAAACAAATGTTTAAATTCCCAGGTAACTGGGTCCCCCCAGCCAAAACAAAGTCACATTATAGAATTTACTTTGTATTAGGGCAAGTCATGGCAAGATAAAACATTAAAAATGATTTATAAAAAATTTAAAAATATGTTGAATTTTATCAAAAGCCTTTTCTGCATCTTTTGAGATAATTGTGACTTTTTTGTCTTTAGTTCTGTTTGTGATGAATCACATCTATTGATTTCCATATGTTGAACCAACCTTGCATCCTGGAGATGAAGACTATCTGATTGTGGTGGATAATCTTTTTTGATGTGCTTCTGAATTCGGTTGACCAGTATTTTGTTGAGGATTTTTGCATCGATGTTCATGCAAGATATAGGCCTAAAATTTTAATTTTTTGTTGTGTGTCTGCCAGATTTTGGTATCAGGATGATGCTGTCCTCATAGAATGAGTTAGGGAGGGGTTCCTTTCCAATTTTATGGAATAGTTTCAGTAGTAATTGTACTAGCTCATCTTTGTACCTCAGGTAGAAATCACCTGTGAATCTATCGTCCTGGGCTTTTTTTGGTTGGTAGGCTATTTATTACTGCCCCAATTTCAGAGCTTGTTATTGGTCTTTTCAATGATTCAATTTCTTCTTTGTTCATTCTTGGGAGAGTGTATGTGTCCAGGAATTTATCCATTTCTTCTAATTTTCTAGTTCATGTGCATAGAGGTGTTTATAATATTCTCTGATGGTTGTTTGTATTTCTGTGCAGTCAGTAGTAATATCCCCTTTATCATTTCTGATTGTGTGTACTTGAATCTTCTCTTTTTTCTTCTTGGTTAGTATAGCTAGTGGTCTATTTATCTTATAATTTTTTCAAAAAATAAACTCCTGAATTGGTTAATCTTTTGAATGTTTTTGTGTGTGTCTCAATTTCCTTCAGAAAAGACTTCTGATAAAATTCAACATCCCTTCAAGTTAAAAACTCTCAATAAACTAGCTATTGAAGGAACATACCTCAAAACAATAAGAGCCATGTATGACAAAACCACCGCTAACATCATAATCAACGGGCAAAAGCTGGAAGCATTTCCCCTTGAAAACTGACATGAGCTAAGGTGCCCTCTCTCACCAATCCTATTTAACATAATATTTACAGTTCTGGGCAGGGCAATCAGGCAAGACAAAGAAATAAAGGCATTAAAATAGAAAGAAAGGAAGGTAAATTATTCCGCTTTGTGGATGACATGATCCTATATCTAAAAATAACCTCATTGTCTCAGCCTCAAAGCTTCTTAAGCTGATAAGCAACTTTAGCAAAATCTCAGGATACAAAATCAATGTACAAAAATTGCTAGCATTCTGATACACCAACAACAGTCAACCGGAGAGCCAAATCGCTAATGAAGTCCCATTCACAATTGCCACAAAAAGAATAAAATACCTAGGAATACAGCTAACTAGGCAGGTGAAAGGTCTCTACAAGAACTACAAAACATTGCTCAAAGAAATCGCAGATGACACAAATAAATAGAAAAACATTCCATGCTCACGGATAGGAAGAATCAATATTGTGAAAACAGCCTCACTGCCCAAAGCTATTTATAGATTCAACGCTATTCCCGTTAAATTAACATTGACTTGCTTCACAGAACTAGAGAAAACTATTTTAAAATTCACTGGGAAGCAAAAAAGAGTCCAAATGGCCAGGGCAATCCTATGCAAAAAGAACAAAGCTGGAGGCATCAAACTACCTGACTTCAAACTATATCACAGGACTACAGTAATCAAAACTGCATAGTACTGGTACAAGGACAGAACACATAGACCTATGGAACAGCAGAGAACCCAGACATAAGATCACACACCGACAACTATCTAATCTTCAACAGACTTGACAGAAACAAACAATGGGGAGTGGATACTCTATTCAACAAATGGTGCTGAGATAACTGGCTAGCCATGTGCAGAAAACTGAAACTGAACCCCTTCCTTACACCATATACAAAAATCAACTTAAGATGGACTAAAGACTTAAAATTAAAATCCAAAACTACAAAAACCTTGGAATAAGACCTAGGCAATATCATTCAAGACATAGGCACCGGAAAAGATTTCATGATGCAGATGCCAAAAGCAATTGAAACAAAAGCAAAAATTGACAAATGGGATATTATCAAAGAGCTTCCATACAGCAAAAGAAGCTATCAACAGAGTAAACAGACAACCTACAGAATGGGAGAAAATATTTGCAAACTATGTATCTGAAAAAGGTCTAATATCCAGCATTGATAGGAACTTAAATTTACAAGAAGAAGAAAAAAAACCCCATTAAAAAGTGGGCAAATGACATGAACAGAAACTTTTCAAAAAAGACATACATGCAGCCAACAGTTATATGAAAAAAAGAAAAGCCTAACATCACTAATCATTAGAGAAATAAAAATCAAGACCACAATGAGATACCATTTCATGCCAGTCAGAATGGCTGTTATTAAGAAGTCAAAAAATAACAGATGCTGGCAAGGTTGTAGAGTAAAAGGAATACTTATACACTGTTGGTGGGAGTGTTAATTAGTTCAGCCACTGTGGAAGACAGTGTGGTGATTCCTCAAAGACCCAAAGACAGAAATCCCATTCAACCCAGCAATCCTATTTCTGGGTATATACCCAAAGGAATGTAACTCATTCTATTATAAAGACACATGCAGGCATATGTGCATTGCAGCACTAGTCACAATAGCAAATACATGGAATCAACCTAAATGCCCATCAAGGATAGACTTAATAAACAAAATGTGGTACATATACACCATGGAATACTATGCACCCATAAAAAGTATGAGATCATGTCCTTTGCTGGGACATGGATGGAGCTGGAGGCCATTATCCTTGGCAAACAAACACAGGAACAGAAAATCAAATACCACACGTTCTCACTTATAAGTGGGAACGAAATGATGACAACACATGGACACATAGAGGGGAACAACACACAGTGGGGCCCACCTGAGTGCAGAGATTGGGAGGAGGAGTGGGTCAGGAGAAATAACTAATGGATACTAGGCTTAATACCTGGGTGATGAAATAAGCAGTATCACAAATTCCCATGACACATGTTCACCTATGTAACAAAACTGCACATCCTTTCACACGTACCCTTGAACTTAAAATGAAAGCCAAAAATTAATTCATAATTAATTAAAAAATAAAAAAGAAAAATGTTTAAATGTGAAATATAAGAAATAAAGAGCATATAATGTCAGGAACAACAAGCATCTTAATAAAACGCAGAGATTATCACAACGTATTAAAAAGTGAAAATTAGGAAATAGAACAATACATATATCAGCAAATACAAGCAAAAATACACCACAATGAACATATCAAAAATAAGAATGAGAAAAATAAGATATATCAGAAATATATATATTTTTAGAAAAAAATTAAAAGATGGATAAAATTGCCAATTTTTGTATAAAATACAAATAAACCACACTTACATTACAATAAATTTTTTTTTTTTTTTTTTTTTTTTTTTTTTTTGAGACAGAGTCTTGCTCTGTCGCCCAGGCTGGAGTGCAGTGGCGGGATCTCGGCTCACTGCAAGCTCCGCCTCCCGGGTTCACGCCATTCTCCTGCCTCAGCCTCCCAAGTAGCTGGGACTACAGGCGCCCGCCACTACGCCCGGCTAATTTTTTGTATTTTTAGTAGAGACGGGGTTTCACCGTTTTTTTTAGCCAGGATGGTCTCGATCTCCTGACCTCGTGATCCGCCCGCCTCGGCCTCCCAAAGTGCATTACAATAAATTTTAACTTATATGGGTCAATAGTTGGTGGGGAAAAAAGTTAAAAATATAATCAATTATTCTAAGTCTTATATGAACAGCAGGTCCAAATTCATTATTAGTTTTGAGCAAAAATTTTGGAAGCAAATATATTTACATCACTTAACCTTGTTAATATCATAGAAACAAAATATAAAAAGTGCCCCAAATCACTCTATAATCTGAATTTTTCATGTCATGTTATACTCAGAAATTAATGTTAATAATGTCCCAATTAGTTAAATAAAAAGAGGTTGGGATAACTTATTTTTATTAAATTTTCATTAGATTTCATAATTGTTTAAGAAAGATTAATTGCAAAATATTAGGACACATATTTACTATTACATTTACCTAAAAGTTCTATGTACATTTTTTCAAATTTCAGTGAGAGAATTGCTTTGTGAATATTCTCATATCAATTTTTGTGTTTACTTTGTCACATACATCTGACCAAGAAATACCAAGAAGGCAGATAAGCTCTATAAAATTCTGAATGAGAAAACTGCTTACATAAGTAAGCAATTATAAAATGAAATTACTGTACATCCATTTACAATTCATGACAAAATCATTTTAAGCTTCAACAACATTCTTTTTTATTTGTTGATAAATTTGATGTTAAAATTTCTAGTCATTATGTGATTTTCTTAAAAATCAATTTTTAATGCCATTTTCCAAGTAATGCCATAACTTTAATTTCTAGAATACGCAAGCACTTTAAGAAAAATCACATTGTAGTTAATTTAAGTGTTATCAAAGTGGCATAAATCACACACAGATAGAATATTCTGGCCAATTCAGTCCCCCATTTCACATTGTTTTACACCCTATGCACTCTGAGTGTCCAGAAAATACATTTCTCTGTAATCTTTGTGTCCCTCTTGTTCACATACATTCTACAACCAATTTCTGAAAAAATTGCACAGGTGGTTGTGTACTTCTTTGGATATCCTCAGCTCATTGGGAAATATCAGAAATTTCAAGATTTTTCTAATCATCATTGCTGCCTCCTGGGGCAATAGGGTCCCATTATCACATTCTGCTCTGCTCTGTCACTCCTTGAAGATCCTTCTCATTGAAACAATATTTACTCTACAACCTCATCACCTGCAGGCCATCAGACTCAATACCTTGTGGCACACTTGTATTCAATCAGCAGTATAAATGTGGTCCAGTTATTAGATGAAAAACTGTGATTTATAAGTATTGCATTATTTTTATATCAAGATCATAAAACATCTCATATTAGCCCCCAAAATTCTACACACAGAATATTTAAGAAGACAAATTCATATATAATATTAACACCACACATCTCACTTGTGTATTAAAAAATAATAAACCAAAACTAAGGAGGGTTTATCCTAAAAATTAAAATATCATTCAGCTTTAGGAAATTCACTAATACGATTCATTCAAGTAAGATATTAATGGAAAAAAACACATGATATAATTAAATAATAAAAAATAATTCAATAAAATTAAAGTCTTTCTTCCTAAATTTTTTAGCAAGTTAAGCAAATATTGGAAGCTTCCATGAACGTAGAATGAATATGATGTACATTATTAAACTTTAGAATAATTCAACATGCAATTACTAACCTGAAAAACCATAAAAAACAAGTGAGACTTGTTAGTTCTTTAAGGAATGATAATTTCAAACTAATGATTGTCCTCTTTTCAAAGAGGCCCTTACCAATTTGGCACATTTAGAAGTATAACTCCAGCTTGACAGTAATCAGGGCAATTTTTAGGAGACAAAAATAAACAACAGAATTATTATCATTTTCTTGAAATGCAGGGGTTGGAAAGTGGAGTTGTGAAGGGCTAGATCATACAGCCATTATCTCCCTAAACACATTTTCCATATTCTTAAGCTAAAATCTAATTCAAAAATTTCTCTAAAGCACTGCTGTAATTCTTAGAGTTTCTTGATGCTGAGGAGATAAAGATGCTGCAGTTTTTTAGGTGAAAGATTTAGATACTTACACCATTGAAATATGGTGTAAGAGATTTATAAAACTGTGTCTTAGATTTATAAAGCTATGAACTTGTATTTACATAGCTCAATCCATAAATGGATTTAAACTAATCAGACCCACACTATTTCTGCCAAGAGAAAACTATAAAGCCTCTCTTGTAAAACTTACCATCATTGTTAAACATTCCATTGCAAATTATTTAAGGAGGTTTGTAAGGAAATAGAAAGGTATCAAGAAGAAAATCAGGCAATTGAAACTACTGTGAGAGGTAGCAGAAAATTAATGTAATCAACAAAGAACACTTCTGTGACTCCTGATGTGTTGGGGTATTTTCTCACACACCAAGCAATTCACCAAAAGGGTCTCCAGTGGACACTAGCTGGGTGTCAATACAATAAAAGATAATACATAAATTAACAATACCAGGAAAAAAGTGGAGTTATCACTACAAATTATATAGACTTTACAAGGATATAAAAAGAATATGCCAAATAATTATGGCTTAGATATGAGAAAAATTGATTAATAAATTCTAAAAATAGAGAAGATGAAATTTCCCCACACAATTGAAATCTATTAAAAGTAAAGAAATTTAAAAATGGAAAAATAATATGAGTAAGTCAGGAACACAATACAAGGCTGTAAAAGCAAATTAGAAATGGCGGAATAATAATAGAACTAGAAAATAGCTTTAAAACACCCAGATTGAAGAACAAAGAATGAAAGCTTGAGAGATTCAGAATAAAATCTAACATGTATTTGGAACACAGTACAAAACCATAAATTTGGTGTAAATTTAATCCCAAAAGGATTAAATAGAGAATATAGAAAAAGCAAAATTAAGTAATGATTTAAAAATGTCCAAAACTTAAGAAAGATAATCCTTAGTAGAATCCAGTAGCTCTGTAAGTTACGAGTATGATGAAAACTACACTTGAGCAAATCATATGCAAACACTTGAACACCAATGTCAAAAAGAAAACATTAAAAGCAGGTGTTCCTCAAGAAGCAAAAGTAAAATGCATCTGACTTCTCAGAAGAGATCATGTAAGTCAATATAAAACAGATTATATTTTTTAAACTACTGAAAGAAAATTCTGACCTAAAGATAAAACATTCAAAAAAACACTTATCAGAAAAAATGTTAATTTTAGCCACCATACTTTCTTCAGGCTGAGGAAAATTTTTAACAGAAATAAACACAGAAATATAGAAAGGAATGCAAGAAATAGAAAGAGTAAATATATGATTAAGCAAGAATAAATAAATGTTGACTGTAGAAAACAATAATTATTGTGTTTCTGATGTTTAAAATATATAGAAGACAAAATAAATGATGTGAAAAAATTCACTACCTTTTAAATCAACCAGTCATTCAAGAAAGAAATCACAAGGAAAATTGGAAAATATTTTGAGAAATGTAAATAAAAACACAACATACAAAAATTTATGTTATACAGCAAAATTTTAGCCAAAGCAATTAGGCAAGAAAAAGAAATAAAAAGGCAACCAAATTGGAAAGAAAGAATAACATAAAATATATTTGCAGATAATGTAGTCTTATATGTAGAAAACCCTAAAAATCCCACAAAAACATCTTAGACTAATAAATTAACAAAGTTGCAGGATACAAAATCAACACACATACAATAAATAGCTGCATTTTAATACACTGGCTAGCAATGCGTAACCCAAAAAGGAAATTGAGAAAACAATACCATTTACAATATTATTAGAAAGAATAGAATACTACTTAAGAACAAACTTAAAACCAAGGAGAGACAAGACATATACACTCAAAATTACAAACCATTGCTGAAGTTAAAGAAGATATAAATTTAAAAACATCTCATGTTCATGATTTGAAAGACTTAATATTGTCAAGATGACAATACTACCCAAGCCAATCTACAGATTCATAACAATCTTGATCAAAATTCCAATGATGCTTTTTTGCACAAATTGAAAAATGCATCACAAAGTTCATATGGAATCCCAAGGCACTTCAGGTAGCCTTAAAAGTTTTTTCAAAGAAAGAATAAAGTTGAATAACTTATACTTCCTGAGGACAAAACTTCCTGCAAAGCCACAATAATGAAAACAATGTGGTTTGGCATGAAGACAGACATATAGACAAATGGAGAATAGAGAGCCCAGAAATTAACCCTAACATTTACAGTCAAATTATTTCTGTCAAGGCTTCCATGACCATTCAATGGGTAAATGACAATTGTTTCAACAAATGCTGGGAAAAGTGTATATCCATATGTAAAAATATAGTTAGACTCTTATCTCAAACATATACCAACATTAACTCAAAATGGATAAAAGATCTAACTGAAGGAAGAGTTAAAAAGTTAAAGCTCTTAGAGATAAACATAAGGGAAAAGCTTCATGACATTAGATTTGATGATTTCTTTAATATTAAACAGAAGACCAGGCAACAAAAGAAAAAATAAATAAACATCATCAAAATTAAAAACTTTTGTACACAAAACATATTATCAAGACAGTGAAAAGACAACATTTAGAATGGAAAAATAGCAAATCACATATATGATAAGGAATTAATATCCAAAATATATAAATAATTCTAAAACTCAATAATAAAAAGGAAGCACAATTTAAAAATTCTCAAAGGACTTGAATAGAAAATCATCTAAAGGTATATGGATTGCCAATAAGGGAAATAAAGCTCAACTTTGCTAATCACTAGGGAAATGGAAATCAAAACTACAGTGATAATTCCATTTTGCAACTATTAAGATGGTTATTATTAAAAAATAAAAATAAATATTGGGCAGGATGTAGAGAAATTGGAACCCCTGTGCTTGCATTGTTGATGAGACTGTGGCAAATAATATGGTGATTCTGAAAAAAATTGAAAATAGAATTACCATATGCTCCAGCAATTCTTCTGGCCATATACCCAGAATAATTGAAATGAAAACAGAGACCTGAACAGATACTTGTATACCAATGTTCATAGCAATATTATTTACAACAGCCAGAAGGTAGAGGCAAATCAATGGATGAACAAAATGTGGTATATACATACAATGATATAGTTTTCAGCTTAAAAAGAATGAAATTTTGCTACATGATACAACATGGATGGAGCTTGAAAATATCATGCTAAGTGAAATAAGCTAGTCACAAAAGGACAAATATTGTATAATACCAATTATATGAGGTATCTAGAGTAGTCAATTCATATAAACCTCAAGTAGAATAGTGGATACCAGGGGCTAGGGGAAGGGGATAATGGAGGATATATTTTTAAAAAAACAGGCAAAAGATTAAGATGCTTCATCATAGAAGATATACATATTTCAAAAAAGTGTAATAAAAGATGCTCAACATCATATGTCATTAGAGAGCTGCAAATTAAAACAACATTGAGTTACCACTAAATAATTAGAATGCTTAAAATCCCAATCGCTGAAAACACCAAATGCTGGTGAGTATGTCAAGCCACAAGAACTCTCATTCACTGTTGGTGAGAACGCAAAATGATACATCTACTTTGAAAGACAATTTAGTAATTTCCTACAAAACTAAACAAACATGCTGCTATTATATGACTCAGTAATTGTGCTCCTTGGTATTTACCCAACTGAAATAAAAACTTATGTCCACACCAAAACCTGTAAATGAGTGTTTATAGCAACATTATTCACAATTGCCCAAAATGGAAAAAGAAAAACCCACATTGTCCTTTAATAGATGAATGATCAAACACACTGTGGTACATCTGTACAGTGGAATATTATTCAATGATAAAAGCAAATAAGCCATAAAGCCATGAAAAGACATGGAGGGATCATAAATAAATATTACTAAGAAACAGTAAAAAGTTCATGGGTTTCTAGGAGTTTATGGAAAAGGATGAAGGGCTAAATATGTGGATCACAGGGCATTCTTAGCACAGTGAAACTATTCTGTATGATACTGTAATAATGGAAACATATTTTTAAGACACATATATTTTTTAAGACGCATATTTTGAAAGACCTATATATTTTTAGGACCCATAGAATGTACAAAGAATTAAACTCAATGTAAACTGTAGACAGTAGTTAATAATAATGTATAATTAGTAGCACAGGAATTATAGGGCATCCCTCTAAGGCAAGATGTAAAATAATAGGGGAAGCAGAGAGGGAGAGGGAGCAGATATATTGTAGTCCACTGTACTTGGTGCTTGTTTTTATGTAAACCAAACGTTGCTCTGAAAAATGTCTGCTAATTTTTTTAAAGCTACTATAGAAAATACACAATGAAGAAGCACCACCAAAATAGCATAACCTTGATACAAAATCAGAAACGTAAAGTACAAGATATAAAACTATCAAATCCATAAGATAGAAACATTTATATCAAATAAAATACTCAAAAATTGAACTAAAAACAGGTCATGGTTGGTTTTATTCTGGGAATTAAAGTTGGCTTACTATTTTAAAAATCAATAAATATATTTGTACATTAACAGATTAAAGGGGAAAATCATAGAGTAAAGTCAATAGATGCAGAAAAAGTCTTTGGTAAAATTTAACACTTATTCATAATAGAAAACAAACTAGAAATAAAAGAATAATTTTAATTGAAAATTATAATAAAAAATATTCTGCAAATATTACTCTAAAATGTGAAGCCTTGAAATTTTTTCTTTCACAATAAGGACAAGGCAAGAATATCTACCACTTATATTGAATCATGCATAAAAGTCTGAATTTAATATTCTGTTATGTTCTTAACTTCTTTATACTGATGCTTAGATTACTAATTTTCAGAGTAATAAATTATAAATGTTCATGGCAACTAATGAAAAGTATATCATTAATAAAAAGAGAACAACTCTATTATAACTGGCAACATTTCATGAATAATGGTATTTCAGAACACCTACATGCTAATAAAATTGAACTGGAATGATAAATGATAAAGCTGTCTATTGAGACCTGTCATTAGAAAGTCTATGCAAATTTGCTTAGACTCAGTAAGATTTCTATTACTTATAATTATTTTTAAGTCGTTTTTCTTTTTAAACATTTTAACTACAAAATATAACATATGTAGAAATATAAATTAAATAAATATGGAAGTTTTACCTTATGTATTTCCTTTATGAATGTAATATTTCATAGTAAAAGGTTTTATCAAAAAAATCTAAAAAGTAGAAGTAAAACAACAACTGAACGTAAATAATAATATATTAAGAAAACAATTGTGAACCCAATGAAACATGGTAGCAAAAATTGATAATGTATAAAAATGTATATAAGTTACACATATCAGATATGTATAAAGTTATACAAAAAACGTATAACTTTGTGTTGAGATATTGCATAACTTTGTGTTGAGATATTGTAAAAAATAATAAGGCTGAAGAACTAAAATGTAACAGAGGAAGTAAAAAATTCAAGCCAAAAATTATAATTACAGAAAAAAAAACATTAAAATGTGGCTATTTTCTTTGTTAATAACTGATGGCAAATTACTGACAATGTAGTAGCATTTTATATCCTCTGAATCCAACTATTTTAGAAATTATAGAATTAAATATTAATGCATTCTGGTGAATTTGAGGTTACTCTTACAATGTTGGCTATATCACACACTGATTTTCTTTTAGGAAAATAATTTTTTAAAACTCAAATTATAAATTTTAATAAATGGAACTGCAATATAAAAGTAACAAATTTAAATTACCAGATTAAAATAGACAATTCAGAAGAAATAAAAAAAGCTTTTTGCGTGAAGTTGCATTTCCTATTGGAAGTCTCTCAATGAGAAAAAAATATTCCCTGATATGTCAACGTGTTTTTAAGTATACTCTGTAAAATATTGTATACTCATATGCCTTAATTATTAAATGTGTGTGGGAGAAGAAATATGTTCATGATATAAGTAAAAATGCATTTATTTGTGTTGAAGAAGAATAAATGTTTTTATTTAAACATATTACTAAGTTGTGACTGCTTACAGTTCAATACGTATCTGGTACAATTCACTTAATATGTTATATAGTTTGAAATTAGGTCAGTTAATTTTCTTTATATTAGTCTACCAGAGCTAGGCAAGTCAACCTAGACTCTCAATCCTCATAAACAGATGTTTATTTGAATTACCCACAAGAATAACATGCAATTCAGATACAAAAGTGACTTACCCCTTTCCCTTTGCATTTTGTGGTGGCATTACAGTTATATCCCATTAAATGAACTTTTCTGCAGGTTTTATTTACACAGTACTAAAACAAAACAAACAAAAATTTTACAATTCACAAATGTCATATAAAACAAGAAAAAACATTAATGATTTCTATATATGTATAAGAGATGCTTAAGTTGAAAGACTTTTAGTAATATTAATATGACTAATATTAATATGATTAACATTATCTTAATTTATTGATACAAAAATACAAAAATCTAAACAACAAAGTAATTGCAAGCAAAAAAACTGACAGCATTTGCCCTGACATGGTTAATGTAAAGGTTATATATAGTTTCAGTTTTTATACTTATAGCTTGCATTGGATTGAGACACTCATCGTATGAGTTTTCTATATTATGTTAATGTTTTGTTATGAATAATTGATTAGATGTTAATGACTTGTCTTCTCAAAAATTGGAACAGAAATCATTTTGTTTAGGTTTTAAGTATAATTCATAAATTTTGAATCTTTGTTATAAGATTCCTCAGAATAATATGGCAAGAACAATATTTATTTCTTGTAAAACTTTTATTATGGCAAAATGTGTAATATGGTGGTGAATAATCACCCAGATATGTGGTGTTTTGCCTCATTTATGTTTTTCTATTTTTTTCTGACTTTGCAAGCTTCTTTTTTATTTCAAAGTGTCACCATAAAATCTGTTTAAGTCGTTCACAACATAACAATACTAAACATGAATAAAAATTAGCTTTTTAATTACTTCCTCAAATCTGCATAAAACCAATTTATAGATTATAAGTTGCATATGTCAACTCACTTTTGTCCCTCATATTCAGCAAATATCAGATGCTCTAGCCAGAGCATTTCAGCAAAAAATAAAAAGATATCCAAGACTATTTTTAGCTTCCATGTATGAGTAAGAATATATGATATTTATTTATCTGTGTTTGGCTTAATTCAGTTAATACAATGGTCTCCAAGTTCATCCATGTTCTGCAAATAACATGATTTTATTTGTTTATCACTAAATAATGATTCTGTTGTGTGTATGTACCACATTTTCTTTATCCATTCATCCATTAATGAGCAATTACGTTGATTCCATAGTTTGGTTATTGTGAATAGTGTGGCAATAAACATGGGAGTTTATTGCCACAACTATCTCTTCAATATACTTATTTCCTTTTCTTTGAATAAACACCCAGTAGTGGGATGGCTGGATCACATGGTAGCTCTATTTTTAGTTTTAGAAGAAACACCATACTGTTTTCCATATTAGCTGTACTAATTTGCATTGTCACAAACAGTGTATAAGAGTTACCCTTTCTCTGCATTCTCGCTAACATGGGTTACTTTTTGTATTTTAAAAGTTTCAGGTGATGAGCTTGCTAGTTAGATATGATCATTATACGTTGTATACGTGCAGTGAATTACATTAATTGATATACACAAATGGTACATATTTTAAGGTACATTGTACCTTATAAACTTTTCTTGTTTCATATAAAACAAGAAAAAACATTAAGCAGTGATTTAATATATGCGTGTAAGAGATGCATATATATCATCTGGTTCTTGCATTATTTCCTTAGGGTAATAACCTTTAGCTTCATTCATGTTTCTGCAAAGGACATGATTTCATTCTTTTTTAGGACTGCATAGTATTCCATGGTGTACATTTTTAAAAATCCAATCTACTATTGATGGGCTTCAAGGTTGATTCCATCCATGTCTTTGCTATTGTGAATAGTTTCACAATGAACATACAAATGCTTGTGTCTCTTTGATAGAGTGAATAATTTTCCTTTGAGCGTATACCCAGAAGTGGGATGGTTGGGTCAAATGGTAATTGTTTTAAGTTCTTTGAGAAATCTCCAAACTGCTTTTCACAGTGGCTGAACTAATTTACATCCCCACCAATCGTGTGTGTTTCCTTTTCTCTTCACCCTCACCAACATTTGGTTGGTGGGGAGAGAATAACAAGGATTTATTTTTTAATGGGTACAGAGTTTCAGTTTGGGATGACAAAAAATGTGCTGTATGTAAGTAGTAGTGACAGTTGCACAACAATACAAATGTAATTAATGAATTGTCCACTTGAAAATGGGTAGAAATGTAAATTTACATTATGTATATTTTTTCACAGTATAAAAAGAAAAAAATTGTATATGCCATATGAAGATTATAAAATTGTCCAAATTAGGCCTCCTACCTGCAGCACCACCCACTGTAGCACCTCCCACCTATGACATTCCCACTACACCTGCTGAAGTGCCCCCTGCCCATGGGACCTCCAACAGAGCACCCCTACTGCCCAGGGTGACCCCTACTAGAGTGCACACACCTTCCACTTGCCATGCTCCTGTAATCCCCTCCTAAGCACCCCTGCCCATGGTGCCACATGCTGGAGTGCCTCTGCCCTAGTGGCACACCTGCCACACCCACCAGCACACCTACACCCATGACTCCACCATCTCCTATGGAGTGGTATTGCCAGCAGTCTGAGAGCACTTTGGCAACTCCAGCCCAACTGGAGCTCAACCTCAAAGGACCATCCTCTCAGCGCAAAAGCTTCCTAAGCTGATAAACAACTTCAGCAAAGTCTCCGAATACAAAATCAATGTGCAAAAATCACTAGCATTCCCATACACCAACAGACAAATGAGCCAACAGTCAACAGAGTCAAATCAGGAATGTACTCCCATTCACAGCTGCCGCACACACACACAGAATACCTAGGAATACAGCGAACTAGGGAGGTGAAAGATCTCTACAAGGAGAGCTACAAAACGCTGCTCAAAGAAATCACAGATGACATAAACAAATAGAAACACATTCCATGCTCAAGGACAGGAAGAATCAATATAGCTGAAATGGCCACATTGCCCAGGGCAATTTTTAGGTTCAATGTCACTCTCATTAAACCACCACTGAGATTCTTCACAGAACTAGAAAAAACTATTATTTCAACTTTCACATAAAACAAAAAATGAGCCTGAATAGCCAATGCAATCCTATGCAAAGCGAACAAAGCTGGAAGCATCATGCTGCCTGACTTCAAACTATCCTACAGGGCTACAGTAACCAAAACAGCATGGTACTGATTCAAAAACAGACACAGAGACCAAAGGAACAGAACAGAGAACCCAGAAACAAGACCACACATTTACTACAATCTAATCTTTGACAAACCTGACAAAAACAAGCAATGGGCAAAGGATATTCTATTCAATAAATGATGCCGGGATAAATGGCTAGCCATATAGAGAATATTGAAACTGGACTGCTTCCTTACACCACACACAGAAATTAACTTAAGACAGATTAAAGATTTAAATGTAAAACCCAAAACTATAAAAACCCTGGCAATACCATTTAAGACATAGGCGCAGGCAATGATTTCATGATGCAGATGCCAAAAGCAATTGCAACAAAAGCAAAAATTAACAAATGAGATCTAATTTAACTAAAGAACTTCTGCACAGCAAAAGAAACCAAACAGAGTTAAACAGACCAGCCTACAGAATGGCAGAAAATATTTGCAAACTATGTATATGACAAAAGTATAATACCCAGCATCTATAAAGAACTTAAACAAAGTTACAAGAAAAAAAAAGCCATTAAAAAGTGGCCAAAGAACATGAACAGATACTTTTCAAAAGAAGACATACATGCAGCCAAGAAACATGGAAAAAAAGCTCAACATCATCGAGCATTAAGAAAATGCAAATCAAAACCAAAGTGAGATACCATCTCATACCAGTCAGAAAGGCTATTACTAAAAAGTGAAAAAATTAACAGATGCTGTCAAAGTTGTGGAGAAAAAGGAATGCTTACACACTATTAGTGGGAATGTAAATTAGTTCAATCATTGTGGAAGACAACGTGGTGATTCCTCCAAGTTTTAAAGACAGAACAATCCCATTACTGGTTATATACCCAAAGGAATATAGATCAGTCTAGTATAAGGGCACATGTATGTTCATTGCAGCACTCTTCACAATAACAAAGACATGGCATCAACTTAAATGCCCATCAATGACAGATTGGATAAAGAAAATGTGCTACATATACACTATGGAATACTATGCAGACATAAAAAAAATGAGGTCATGTCTTCTGCAGGGACATGGATGGAGCTGGAGGTCATTATTCTTAGCAAACTAATGCAGGAATAGAAAACTAAATACTGCATGTTCTCACTTACAAGTGGGAGCTGAATAATGAGAACACATGGACACATAGAAGGGAACAACACACAGTGGGGTCTTTGGTAGGGTGGAGGCTGGGAGGAGGGAGAAGTTCAGAAAAAAGAACTAATGGGTACTAGGCTTAATACCTGGGTGATGAAATAATCTTTACAACAACCCTCATGACACAAGTTTAGCTATGTAACAAACCTTCACATGTACCCCTGAACTTAAAAATAAAAGTTAAAAAGAAGAAATAGAAAAAAAAGTTCATCATCACTAATCATTAGAGACATGCAAATCAAAACCACAATGAGGTACCATCTCACATCAGTTAAAGTCCAAAAATAGCAGGCCAGTAAGGCTGCAGAGAAATGGCAACATTTATTAACTGCTGGTGGAAATGTAAATTAGTTCAACCATTGTGGAAAGCACTTTGGAAATTACTCCTTGAACTTAAAACAGAGCTACAATTTGACCCAGCAATACCACTATTGATATACATCCAAAGGAAAATAAGTCCTTCTACCAAAAAGACACATGTATTCATATGTTTATTACAGCACTATTCACAATAGCAAAGACATGAATCAATGAAGACGCCCATTAATGGTGGGCTGGATAAAGAAAACAGGGTGCGCACACACCATGGAATACTATGCAGTCACACAAAAAGAATGAAATAATGTCCTCTGCAGCAACATGGATGCAACTGGAGGATATTATCCTAAGCAAACTAATGCAGGAACAGAAAACTAAATACTGCATGTTCTCACTTATAAGTGGGAGCTAAACATTAAATACACATGGCAGTAAAAAAATGGAACAATAGATACTGGGACTGCTTGAAATGGGAGGATGGGGAAAGGGGCCTGGGTTGGGAGGCTACTTATTGGGTACTATGCTCACTACCTTGGTGATGGAATCATTTGTACACCAAGCCTCAGTGTCATGTAATTTACCCATGTAACAAATCTGCACATATGCCTCCTGAACCTAAAATACAGTACAATAGAATAAAATTGTCTAATTTAGACCAGTGTATGTAAGAGGAAGGGAGATGACAAGAAATTAATAATCAATTGATGAACTCTTAAGTTAACTACCATTTCTCACTGGATCATCAGCTTAATTTAAAGTTATACATTGATGATCAAAATAAGAAGACAAATTATGCATTGTAAATAATTTTAGGAAACAGAATAAAGTGCCATGCATGGCCATTTAAGTATGCGTCTAAATTTATGTGAATATTGCATAGACATATTTTCAATGTTTTTGAGATTATTTTCTATCGTATTCTAAGTAGCACAAGAACTTCCTATATATAGGTGCAAAAGGCCACATGGGCATGTGAAAAATAGCTTTATATTAAAATACATACTAATATTATAACTGAACATGTTTCACTTAATATCTGTATTTCTGCAATCCATTCTGGAAGTCTAGTTGGACAAAAGATATTTCAAGTAAAAAAAAATAGGAATCTATTTTAAAAAATCAATGTGGTCAACATCCTGTGATGAAGGCACTCTTAGCTAACTTTCAACAAATTCCCCTTAGATCTCTTGGCTTCATATGAATATGCACCAAACAAAGTAATGGAAACATACCTTTAGTCACATAATACACTGCAAGTGATGTGCAATAACTAATAGTTCAACAAAGAAACTTCCAATTGCACAGAGTTCTGATTCCTACGCATTTCTTAAAAGCAAATAATGAATAAAAAATATCTGAGTCTGAAAATAATTTTTCTTAATTAATGTTGTTTTTCGTATGTCAGAAATTGTAATCATTTAAGAACAAAAGAGATAAACAAGCTATAGTCATTTTAGAAATGAAAAAGGAAACACTTTAACCAAGATATTAACATGCTGTGGTCGGAATATTTGTGTTCCCCAAAATTCACCTGTTGAAACCTAATCTCCAGTGCAATCATATTAAAAAGTGGATCCCGTAGAAGGCGATTAGGTCACAAGGGTAGAATCCCCATGAATGAGATTAGCGCCTTAATAAAAGAGGTTCAATGGAGCTTGTTCACCCTTTCTGTCATGCGAGGACACGGTAAGGTACCAACTTTGAAGCAGATAATGAGTCCTAACCAGGCACTAAATCTGCTGGCACTTTGATCTTGGACTTCCCAGCCTCAAAAACTGTTAAGCAGTACGTTCCTTTTGTTTGTAAATTACCCAATCTCAGCTATTTCATTATAGCAGCATGAGTGCACTAAGACAGAAATTGGTACCGAGAGGTGGAATGTTGCCATAAAAAATACCTAAAGATGTGGAAGTGGCTTTGGAACTCACTACTGACCGGAGGCTGAAAAAGGTTTGGAAGTGCTTGCTAGAAAAAGCCTGCATTGCTGTAAGTGGAGAATTAAGGATGATTCTGGTGAGGGCTCAGAAGAAAAGGACAGCTTTAGAGAAAACCTCAGTTTTCTCACAGGTTACCTAGCTGGTTGTGATCAGAGCATTGGTAGGAAAATGGAAGGTGAAAGCCATTTTGATGAGGTCTCAATTGAAATGAGGACCAAGGTACCGGAAAATGAGGGAAAGACGATCTTTGTTATAAAGTGTCAAAGAACTTGGCTAAATTGTGTTTGTGTCCTAGTGTTTTGTGGAAGGTGGGATTTCTGAGCCATGAAATAAGATACTTCACAGAAGAAGAAATATGTTAGCAGATGGTGGAGGGTGCAGCATGCTTTTTTAAATCAGTTTATAGTAAAGTGTGAGAAGAAAGAAAGAAATATTAAACACGGAATTTATAATGAAAAGGAAAGCAGAACTAAAAAATTTGGAAAATTCTTAGCCCAGCCATGTTGTAAAGAATGAAAAAGCATGTTCAGGAGCGAACACCAAGGATATGACCAAGCCACCTTTTGAAAAAGAGATTAAGAAGGTTTAGAAACCAGGTGATATTCCCCAACTCAATGGAAGAATGCCCCTGAAGGCATTTCACAGATTATCAGTGCTGCCACTCCCATTACAGGATCAGAGTTACCAGGCCTGAGGAGCAGATCTATGTCAAAAGAGGAGCCTCATGCACCCACAGGAATTTGGCACTTACTGCTCATGATGCCTCAAGTCTCTATTCCCTGCATTATAGCAAACCGCTCTTCAACCATATCGGGTATGACTCCACTGGGCCCAGGTGGGATGAGACCCAAGGAGATGTTCTTCTGGACGGCACATTCAAATCAACCTTGGGGGTGTCTCCATGGTGCCATCTTTACAAGGGCCCAGAATGAACAAGCTGTGGAGGCATGGCTGCCTTCACCTGGACTTCAAAGGATGCCCCAGATGCCCTCACAGCACAGGCAGAGAACTGTCATTGTAGCAGGAAGAGTTGTAGACAAAATCCCTCAGACACTGGATTGTGGAAGGGAAGAGCTTCATTCAGCTGGGAGCATCAGCTGACTAGAAACTGAGCTCCCTGAATAAGTAATTCCTGTCCCTTTTAAGGGCTAACTTTAAAGAGTGAGGGGGTTGTGATTAATTAAGCGAGTGAGGGGTACGTGACTGGGGGCTGCAGGCACCAGTAATCAGAGTGAAACAGAACAGAACAGGGAGTTTCACAATGCTCCCTCATACAATGTCTAGAATCTACGGATAACACAGTGGTGAGGTCAGGGGTTGAATTTTAACTACCAGGCCTGAAATGAGGCACCGGGCTGTCTGACTATGAATTTCACTTCTGCTTATTAACTTTTACCTTTTCAGCAAACAAGAAATTATAAGAAATTATAAGAAACTATATAAGAAGTGGTCTCTTCTCTCATCATACTAGGGCAATGCCCAGTGGAGCTGGGAGCAAGAGTGAGGCCAGCACAGACAGCCCCCACCAGGGCAACAATGAGTACAGAACTGCCCCCTCAACCTCAGGCTGATTGAGTCACTGGTGTGAAACTCTAGCCTAAGAGAGCCCCAGACACACAATTCCAACCTGTGAGAGGTGTGGCATGGGCTGTAACCAGCAAATCCATTGAGATTGGGCTGCCCAGAGCCCTCGGGGCCCAGTTCGTGCCCCAGTTAAAACATTTTGGTTATCCAAGAAAAGTAATTCCTAGAGATTGACTGTATGTCACAGTTTATATAGTTAACAATAATGTATTATATACTTAAACAATTCCTAGGGGGTAGGCCATATATTAAATGCTGCTATGAGAGAGGTAACAATAATAAATAAATAAATAAATAAATAAAAGATTGGGAAAAAATTTTGGAAGTTATAAATAGCTTATGACATGGAAGGTAGTGATCATTTCACAGATGTATAATTATCTCTAAACTCATCAATTTATTGTTTATTTACTTATTTATCTATTTATTTTATGTATTTATTTATTTTGAGATAAGGTCTTGCTTTGTTGACCAGACTGGAGTGTAGTGGTGTGAAAGCTTCAATCTCCTGAGTTCAAGAGATCCTCTTGCTTCAGCCTCCCAAGTAGCTGGGACTACAGGTGTGTGCCACCATACCTGGCTAATTTTTTAAAATAATATTATTTTTTAGAGACAAGTTCTCGCTATGTTTCCCAGGCAGGTCTTGAACTCCTGAGCTCAACTGATCCTCCCATCTTGGTGTTTCAAAGTGATTTTTGTTTGTCAAATAAAACTAAATATACAATTCAACCAAAAAAAGTAAGTAAAACAAACTACAGAGTAGGAGAAAATATTTGCCATCTTGCCTTTAGGATATTTAAAGAACAATTAAATTGAACTTTTAAAAAAGACAATCTGATTAAAAATAGGCTAAAGACATGATCAGATACTTTACTCAGGAGGATACACTGATGACATATAAGTTCATGGAAAATACTGAATATAATTAACCATTAAAGAATGCAAATATCACTATGCACATATAAAAATGAGTAAATAATAAGTAGTGCTAACACCAAATGCTGTTGAGGATATGAAGAAACTTGCTCACTTACACACTGCTGGTGGAAATGAAAAATGGCATAGCCACTTGACCAAAGATTCTAGCAGTTTCTCATAGAACCAAAAATATACTTATCTTGCAAATCAGAAATTGCACTCTTAGAAGTTTATCTTAGGAAAAGGAAACAATACACATATTATCGCAGTTTCTGTGAGTGGTGAATTCTGGGAATGGCATAGCTTGGTCTTTTGCTTCAGATATTTGCATAGGCTGGTATTAAAATGCCAGCCAATTTCATCTGAAGGTTTTACTAAAATGAATATGCTTCCAAATTTGTCACGTGGTTGTCAGAAGGCTGTTGTATTAACATGCTCATTTCCTCAAGGTCTTTTGGATGGAGGCCATATTCACTTTCTTCCCATGTATTACTCTTCAACATGGTAGCTTATTTCATCCAAGTAAGCAATGAAGAAGGGGCAGGAGAACAAAACGGAAAATACTGTCTGTTATATCCTAATGTTGCAAGTTATATTCCATCATTTTTTCCATACTCTATTTGTTAGAAGCACGTCACTATGTCCATCCCTCACTTGGTTGGTAGGGAATGTGTATTATAAAGGGAGTGAACAGAAGAAGATAAGATATTGGAGGGTATTTTAAAAGCTGAGTAGCACAGTTTATCTTCTAATGTTACATATCTTTTACACATAAAAACCACATTAATTGTCAAGCTCTCCAACATTCTCATTTCATTATAGCATCAGTTCAAAGCCTATTTCTTCATCTGAGTTAGCTCCAGCTGTGGATTAGGTTCATGGGTATACTTCCTTGAGTATAGCTCTTCCATTTGTAGATCTTTGACACTAGAGAGTAATCTGGCCCCAAGCCCATCAATATATAATGGTAATAAAGGCATAGAATAACTTATAGATATTTTAATTCAAAGTGTGTGTGGGGGGGGATTAGAACTAAAAAGAAATTACTGGTCCATAGCAATTCTGAAATATCTAGAAGGGCTCATGTTGGGAGTTCCTTGTTTGGGTTTCAAGGTCTGTGAAAAATCTCTCTTGGCTCTCAGTTCTGCCTTCTCAGTTCTTATTTGACTCTCTAAGTATTCCTTCCTTTTTCAGGAAAGGTAGCACATATTTGACTTTGAGCAATTATCTCAGCCTGCCTCCTCTCAGTAGAATTTTGGGGGTCCGATAGCCTCCTTTCATTTTGTATTCTCTTTACTGGCGGTTTCTCAAAAACTGTGAACCTCCCGTGAATCTCTTTGGCATTTATTACATTAAACAAAAGACATGCTCACAAATATCTTTGAAATGAACCGTTTTCTACCTTAGGCTTCTGCTGAGATGGCTGAAAGACAAAGCTCTGAAGTTTCCAGATGCCTTATTTTTTTAAATGTAGAGGATCTGTGAGGCAGCCTTTCTTTCTTTAAAGGACTTTTGTCTAACTGAATAACACTCTGAGCCTTTTACTGTAGAACATTAGTTAAGAGTTGATCTTGACTAATCTTTTGTTACTCTTAACTAATGTTTTACAGTCTCACTCTTGACCATGTTTTCCTGATAGTTCTTGGAATCCATTTCTTTGTTTTAGCATCTTTTGCTGTCTGGAGAAGTTAAGAATTTTCAAAATCATCAATGGTTATGTTTTATTTAACAGTTCCTTCAATTTCTTTCATTTCTTATTATATTATAAGCTGCTAGAAGGGGTCAGAAGCTAGATCACCAAGTTTATTATGTACACATTCTACTTTCCACGTACTGTAGAAGACAATATGCTAAGCTTTCTGCCACTAAATAAAAAGAACCTTACTTCCTCCAGTTTTCAATAATATACTCCTAACTACCACTTGAGCCCTCACCAGCCAGGTCCTCAAAGTGCAGAGTTGGACTTAAGGTCTGTTTCAGGCAATATGAGCTTTCTGTATCTTGGTCTTCAACATTCTTCTGGTCTCTACCCACTTCCTGGTTCTATATTCATACCCAATTTTTAAGGTATTTGTTACAGCAGCACCATATGTCCAGGTATCAAATCTGCATCAGTTTTCTGTTGCTGCATAACAAATTATCATCAAAATTAATGACATTAAACAACACGTATTTATTATATCACAACTTCTGTGAGTCTGAAATTCAAGCACATCTTATCTGGGTTCTCTGCTTCACAGTCTTCTTACAAGCTGAAATCAAGGTGTTATCTGTTATCTGGGACTGTAGTCTCACCTGTTGGTCCGACTTGCAAAGCTCTTCATAGCTTGCTTGTGTGGTTTTGGCAGAATTCAGTCCCTCACAGGCTGTTGAACTGAGGGCCTCAGATTTTCACTGTCCCACAATTGCTTTCCTTGTAGGATTTTCCCTGAAGGCAGCTTGCTTCAGCAAAGCAAGCAATCTGAGAAGGCAAGGGAGAGAGTCCATGCAAAACAGAAGTCACTGTCTTTTCTCATCTTCTTTCTTGTCTCTAGCCTCTAATCTTGTGACATTCCAAAACTTTTGCCCTATTTTATTTGTTAAAAGCAAGTCATTAGATGCAGTCCACAGGCAAAGGAAGGGATTACACAAAGGAATGAATGACAGAAAGTGGGATCACTGAGAGTCATTTCAGGAGCAGATTACCACATAGAGGTTTCTCAAGGGATTAGGGTTGCTGACACCAGATATAACAATTGACTAACACATCCTCCATTTCTAGGTTTTGTTTTATTTTTACGCATCAAATAAGCACCAAATGACATTTAAGTGCAACACTCTATAATTGCTATGTGAAATTTCAGATGCCACATATTATCATGTTTTCTGGAACATGTGCCCTTATATTGCAAGATTAACCAAGTCTCTAAAGCCTTTTTGTTCTCTTTTTATGTTATGACTACATAGATAGAAGTGTTCATATATATTCATGCATGTATATACGCATGAGCCTGTATATGCACTATAGCAATGTTTCCTAGTATAGATTCTTGTTTGGTTCCAAACCTTTTGTACACTTATATTTTGATCAGATACAAATCAAATAATTTAAGAAATATGTAAAGTCAATTAATGTTCTTTGTGAAGCAAGGAAAATGGAAAACTTTGTATTAGCATTTTACAATTTAAAGCTACCAGATGTCAGTTAGTAAAATCTTGTGCTTAAAATATATATGTACTTTTTTTAACATAAGGACTGATAATATTTTAATCCAAAAAGCAATGTAATTGGATAACTTAGGCTTGTTTTAATTATCATTTAAATATCACATGGGAAATAAATGCCAGCACAAGTTTAAATCCATTCAATATAATTGTGATAGTCATCATGGAATGCAGTATCTGATAATTCACATAATTTAACACAGCTGAATATAAATTATCACATTTTGTTACCATTTCTGGACCACACATGGTGCCATCAGCCACATAGGCATTGTCTGTTCCATCTGATCTCATGGAGGAACCAGTGGCTATAGATACACATACATGGTCTTGAATATATGAATAAACTGTAGATTGAGCGTCACTTTTATTAGCATTTTTATGTGGCTGAACACAAGCTAATTTTCCACAGAGAACATCCCTGGAAGTGGAAAGCAAAAAGTTCCTTATCAGTTTATCTCTTAATGATAACAAGTTCCAAGTGAGTACTGCATAATGGTAACATACTGTTAATTGATAGTATAACAACTGAAAAATGCCAAACTGAAACATTATTTTATGGTGCACAACAACTAAATGCAACTGTCTTAATAGCAGAATTGAAATGTATATGCTTAACTCAGCGTGAAGACACGACTTCATTCCCATTATAGAGCCCAATTTTGTTCTCTAAGTTCTAGTTGTCTTAGACCGTTCATATTTTACCGCACTCTGGGAGAATTAGTCACTTGCCCCACTTTGATATAGCTTGGCCAGCCTGGTCACTTATTAAACAAAATTTGCTGAGAGTGGCTAATTGCATTTCTCTTTCTGCACATTTTATTGTGCCTATCATTCCTGTCATGATACCTAGAAAGTACATTTCTGCAGTATACACAACCTTCATTTTGATCCACAATTTCTCCCAGCATACAGATATTTCCAGTATATTTAACTTATCTGTTAAAAATTTAAGAACTTTTAGATCCCCTCTATGCCACAAACATACCAAAGGTTATCTTATCCCATGGATGCTGTATTTTGCCATTTGTAATCTATCATTGGGTAAAATACTGGCTTCTCTATGAGGCTAAGAGTATTTCTAGACTATGCTCTGAAAGATAATCTATGTCACTTTTTGTACTTGAAATTATTGAAATCTAATTATCAAAGTTCATCCTCAATGAGAATAATCATTTTTAGCCATTGATCTGTCTCTATTGAACATGTCATTATTATTTCATCAAAAGGCTCCTCTTAGGGAATTTTACCCATTTGTCCTAAAAGAATCATTTGAGGCTTTTTCAGAAGAATAAGCTTAATTACACCAAGAAGTAAAGATTGAAATGAGATTAAGAGCCAGAACCTAAATTACATTTCACTTTTGTCTTCCCTCCAGCATAACTTTTCTACTTTCCCAGGTCTTGATATTTCTTTTGATTTTGGTTCCACTCTCTTTCTATAGAATATATTCTAAACCAGACTTGCATGGTATGTATGTATCCTTCCAGTCTGGCTACTGAGTACAAATTCTTCCTCCAAGTCCATTTTCCCAAAATTTGCATTTATGGTTAAATTCTTAGAACTATTTTTTCTTTTTTGAAAAGGAATCACAGTCTGTTTAGATCAGACGATGTATGCTACTCAATTTTAGTTTCATCTAATGATGTTATTTCAGGAAAATTCATGTACTATTATCACATAAGACAAAGTCCAATGGAGTCATGTTTGCTAACTTTCACAATTTCTTCCAGGTTTCTTTTATCTTTTTTTCATGAATAATCTTAAATTAAAGGCAGCAGATGTGCCTCTGGACATCAGGAAGAAGATTAAGTGGGGTTGTCATGCCACCATCTTCTGTCTTTGTTGGGATCCACTGTGGTGTAACTCAGACTGCTGGCCCCTGGTGCTCTGTATTAATATCCAATAGGTGTGGCTGATTATGCCGGGTCTCCTCCTGAGATCCCCACTCATCAGTACTTTCTTTGTGATTCCACCTTTCTTCTTTCCATGTACTAATCCTCCTGTGTTGGGGCAAGTGGGAAGTTCTGCATCCTCTCCACAGCATACATAATCCATGGTAATTTCACATATGGAGGAGGGTGATGGAGGATACTACTTTAGTCCCACCCAACTGGATACCTTCTTCATCCATTTCTCATCTTAATAAAGGAACTGTATTGCTTTGAACAATACTGATAGTGGTGCTTACCTGAGGATTTTATGGTTTTTCCTGGCTATAAGTCTTTGAGACTAAATGTCTGCTTCTTCCTGAATTAATTATATCTAAATTTTTTATGTTATTCCCTTTCTCTTATTTTGTGAATCTGGCTCTGTTACACATTTTTGTGGCTCTTTAATTTTCAATGAAATTAAGGAAGATAAAATTAAGGAAGCATTCATTACAGGGTAGGCACTTCCTTTATTAAAGTATTGGATTTCATTAATCCCTTTATTACATGGATTATAGTAACACTATGTCCCAATAGTCTGAATTTAGTTATTAATAGATACTTCCATGCTTTACATATTGATGTTTTGGACACAATTAGCAAAAACAAAAATAGCTTTCTTCTTCTCAACAATTCTATGTCTTAAAAATCAAAGCTTGAGGTTTGCTTTAAGATTGTTGCTATTTATAGACTTAATACAAAACTTCATTTGAATTCTCAATACAGAGTAGCAGTTCTGATTTCTGGCAGTGTGTGTCCATTTTCTTCTTCTGTTACTAAGTATTAGCCTTTTTTTGTCCAATCTCATTTTTAGGATGATATCAAGGGAAAATAATAGAAAATCCTGAATTTCATAGAAAAAATATATGCATTGGTATTTGAAAATATTCCCATGTTATAAAATTTTAGTGTTCATTACTACTTAGTGTCTCTTGATAAAAATACATAATTTTTATGATTCAAAGAAGCAATCATTTTCTACATACGTACTTCCGTTCACAAGGTAATGGTTGTGAATTTTTAAAACCACAGTTTTCAGATCTTTCATGCAGAGAATTAACTTCTTTAAAACAGGCAAATGGAGCACCTTGAGCACCTTAAAATGCAAACATGTCAGTTGAATTATCATTCTTAATATGAGTTAAATGTTTGTCAGTAACAGACTAAGGAAATTTAATTTCAAAAAGATCATGTACTTGTTGATCATGCTTTTGTTTCTATGCATACCCTGTCAATGCAAGTAGAAAGAAATAATTGTCTTATCTTACACACACAGAAAATGATTATATCTATTGCAATAAGTTATATTATTTTTAAAACAATATGTTTCTCTTTCTGGTGGGAGCAAATACTTCTTAATCTAATGAATATTGGGCTTGACCTTGTAACTTCCTCTTCTTAATGAAATGAGGAATTTGAAGCATGTCACTTATGGACAGAAACCTCTGGAACTTATATAGTTTTCCAGAGTCTACCTCCTGTCCTTTGTAGCACATGTGTTTATTTGGTCCTTCCAGCATGCTGGCTATACTTTGCTTATTTTGTCTGACTAGTATAAAATCACTGATGGATTGGACCAATGTTACATTTTATGGGAAGTCCAAATCTCTTCTACTATATTATGATGGAGGGAAACAGAGTAAACTTAACCCTGGAGAAAAATTCTAAATGAATCCTGTTATCCACTCTATGTGAATGTAAACTGTTTCTAATCTTCTTTTCAAATAGGAATAGAAAATAATACACTTGCCAAAATGGCCGAATAGGAACAACTCCAGTCTGCAGCTCCCAGTGTGATCGATGCAGAAGATGGGTGATTTCTGCATTTCCAACTGAGGTACCTGGTTCATCTCACTGGGACTGGTTGGACAGTGGGTACAGCCCATGGAAGGCGAGCTGAAGCAGGGCGGGGCGTTGCCCCTGCCCAAGAAGAGCAAGGAGTCGAGGGATTTCCCTTTCCTAGCCAAGGGATGCTGTGACAGACTACCTGGAAAAATGGGGCACTCCTACCCAAATATTGCACTTTTCCCAAGGTCTTAGAATCGGCAGACAAGATGATTCTCTCCTGTGCCTGGCTCGACAGTTCCCATGCCCACAGAGCCTTGCTCACTGCTAGCGCAGCAGTCTGAGATCAATCTGCAAGGTGGCAGCCTGGCTGGGGGAGGGGTATCAGCCATTGCTGAGGCTTGAGTAGGTAAACAAAGTGTCCAGGAAGCCCAAACTTGGCAGAGTCCACTGCAGCTCAACAAAGCCTACTGCCTCTAGACTCCACCTCTGTGGGCAGAGCATAGCTGAACAAAAGACAGCAGACAACTTCTGCAGACTTAAACATCCCTGTCTGACAGCTCTGAAGAGAGCAGTGGTTCTCCCAGCATGACATTTGAGCTCTGAGAAGGGACAGACTGCCTCCTCAAGTGGATCCCTGATCCCCATGTAGCCTAACTGGGAGACACCTCCCAGAAGGGGCCAACAGACACTTCATATAGGCGGCTGCCCCTCTGGGATGACCCTTCCAGAGGGAGGATCAGGCAGCAATATTTGCTGTTCTGCAATATTTGCTGTTCTGCAGCCTCCACTGGTGATACCCAGGGAAACAGGGTCTGGAGTGGACCTCCCACAAATTCCAACAGACCTGCAGCTGAGGGACCTGACCATTAGAAGGAAAACTAACAAACAGAAAGAAATAGCATCAATGTCAACAAAAAGGTCATCTACACCAAAATCCCATCTGTAGGTCACCAACATCAAAGACCAAAGGTAGACAAAACCACAAAGGTGGGAAGAAACCAGAGCAGAAAAGCTGAAAATTCTAAAAATCAGAGTGCCTCTTCTCCTCCAAAGGATCACAGCTCCTCGCCAGCAACGGAACAAAGCTGGACGGAGAATGACTTTGATGAGTTGACAGAAGTAAGCTTCAGAAGGTTGGTAATAACAAACTTCTCCGAGCTAAAGGAGGATGTTAAAACCCATCACAAGGAAGCTAAAAACCTTGAAAAAAGATTAGATGAATGGCTAACTAGAATAAACAGTGTAGAGAGGACCTTAAATGACCTGATGGAGCTGAAAACCATGGCACGAGAACTTCGTGAGGCATGCACAAACATCAATAGCCGATTCTATTAAGTGGAAGAAAGGGTATCAATGATTGAAGATCAAATTGATGAAATAAAGCAAGAAAACAAGGTTAGAGAAAAAAGAGTAAAAAGAAACGAACAAAGCCTCCAAGAAATATGGGACTATGTGAAAAGACCAAATCTACATTTGATTGGTGTGCCTGAAAGTGATGGGGAGAATGGAACCAAGTTGGAAAACACTCTTCAGCATATTAGGCAGGAGAACTTCCCCAACCTAACAAGACAGGCCAACATTCAAATTCAGAAATACAGAGAACACCACAAAGATACTCCTTGAGAAGAGCAACCCCAAGACACATAATTATCAGATTCACCAAAGTTGAAATGAAAGGGAAAATGTTAAGGGCAGCCAGAGAGAAAGTTCAGGTTACCTACAAAGGGAAGCCCATCAGACTAACAGTGGATCTCTCGGCAGAAACCCTACAAGCCAGAAGAGAGTGGGGGCAAATATTCAACATTCTTAAAGAAAAGAATTTTCAACCCAGAATTTCATATCCAGCCGAACTAAGCTTCATAAGTGAAGGAGAAATAAAATCCTTTACAGACAAGCAAATGCTGAGAGATTTTGTCTCCACCAGGCCTGCCTTACAGGAGCTCCTGAAGGAAGCACTAAACACAGAAAGAAAGAACTGGTACTAGCCACTACAAAAACAGGCCAAATTGTAAAGACCATCGATGTAGAGAAGAAACTGCATCAATTAATGGGAAAAATAACCAGTGAACATCATAATGAAAGGATCAAATTCACACATAACAATATTAACCTTAAATGTAAATGGGCTAAATGCCCCCAGTTAAAAGACACAGACTGGCAAATTGGATAAAGAGTCAAGACCCATCAGCATGCTGTATTCAGGAGACTCATCTCACATGCAAAGACACACATAGGCTCAAAATAAAGGGATGGGGGACGATCTACCAAGCAAATGGAAAGCAAAAAAAAGCAGGGGTTGCAATCCTAGTATCTGATAAAACAAACTTTAAACCAAGATCAAAAGAGACAAAGAAGGCCATTACATAATGGTAAAGGGATCAATTCAACAAGAAGAACTAACTATCTTAAATATATACATGCACCCAATACAGGAGCACCCAGATTCATAAACCAAGTCCTTAGAGACCTACAAAGAGACTTAGACTCCCACACAATAATAATGGGAAACTTTAACACCCCCCTGTCAATATTAGACAGATCAACGAGACAGAAGGTTAACAAGAATATCCAGGACCTGAACTCAGCTCTGCAACAAGCAGGACTAATAGACATCTACAGAACTCTCCACCCCAAATCAACAGAATATATATTCTTCTCAGCACCACATCTCACTTATTCTAAAATTGACCACAAAATTGGAAGTAAAGCACTCCTCAGCAAATGTAAATGAACAGAAATCACAACGAACTGTCTCTCAGACCACAGTGCAATCAAACTAGAACTCAAGATTAAGAAACTCTCTCAAAACCGCACAACTACATGGAAACTGAACAATTTGCTCCTGAATGACTACTGGGTAAATAACAAAATGAAGGCAGAAATAAAGATGTTCTTTGAAACCAATGAGAACAAAGATAAAACGTACCAGAATTTCTGGGATACATTTAAAGCAGTGTGTAGAGGGAAATTTATAGCACTAAATGCCCACAAGAGAAAGCAGGAAAGATCTAAAATCGACACCTTAACATCACAATTAAAAGAACTAGAGAAGCAAGAGTAAACAAATTCAAAAGCTAGCAAAAGGCAAGAAACAACTAAGATCAGAGCAGAACTGAAAGAGACAGAGAAACCATCATTCTCAGCCAACTATCACAAGGACAGAAAACCAGACACTGCATGTTCTCACTCATAGGTGGGAATTGAACAATGAGATAACTTGGACACAGGGCGGGGAACGTCACATGCTGGGGCTTGTTGGGGGGTGGGGTGTGGGGAGAGGGATAGCATTAGGAGAAATACCTATGTAAATGATGAGTTGATGGGTGCAGCAAACCAACATGGCACATGTATATCTATGTATCAAACCTGCACGTTGTGCACATGTACCCTAGAACTTAAAGTACAATAAATAATAATAATAATAATACACTTGCCAAATCAGGGGTTACACTTCTCACACATATTTGAGGCCATGCTAATCTGCTCTAGCATGGACATACCCTGGCGCAGTGAATGCAATCAAGTCTACTACCTGATTACATTTGTAGTAGTTAAATATTATCTTCCAGGATCATCTTGTTTCTGCAGGGATCATATTGAATAATTAAATGTGTGTAATATATAGCCAACCACCCCTGCATCCTTTAGATCTTTAAAAGTAGCACTAATTTCTTGAAACAGGCGGTTACAGACATCAAACACATTAAAGCCCCACTGAGGGAATTGCACAAACTATTAAATATGCCAACTCCAATTATATACACTAGGTCTGAGAAATAACAACCAAATGGATTTATGGAACTAGCAGACCCACTGTAAACTGAAACTTGGCCAGGACTCTATTTAACTCCTGGTGTCTCTAAGTCCTCACTCTCACAGGGAGACCATGATCACATTGGGCTTCTGGATATTAATGTCAATGCAGTCTGTGTCCACTAGTTTTTAAAATGTTTGGATATTTTCTTTTCCCCAGTGAACAGATACGTGATTAAATGGTTGTAAGTCCATATGGGAACATATGAGAGGAACAGTTAACAAGGTGTTATGGGGATTTTCTTCTATGGCCCTTGCTCCCACTTAAGTCAATGAGTTCTGGCTCTGAAAATTGGTTTAGATTCAGAGTGTGGACCTAACATTGCGATATTTACTGAGACAACTCTCCACAGTCTCCTGGTCATCTATTTTTATACATTTCCTTTAATGAAACAAATTGAGTAGTACCCTCATTGGCTGCTCACAGAACACAGGGAAATCGTATTATATTAACTCTCTCCCTGACACTTGGTAGGGAAGGTACCCATGTCTGCTACTGCATATCTACTGCTTATAACAACATTATTCATCTGGCTTCTGGTAGGTAAGCACTGCTATCTGGTCTTGATTTTTCCAGATCTTATCATATCCATTGCTACCGGTGAGTGTAGTGGCATTCCCACTCTGACCTGCAGAGGAAGCCATCTTTGAAATTTATGGTGAATATGGTATCCCTTTCTCTAGCACATTCCTTATGGCCTTGGGCTTTCCTGTTTGGCCAAATCATTTGGCCTTAAATACACAGTACATAGATTACAGTATTCCCACTTCCCTGAGCCTTTTTCTTCTTTTTTCCACTATCTGCTATGGCAATTCTGTCATTTAAATTTCACTTAGGGCGAGTAATCTTTTTTTTTCCATGCTGCTGGAAGCCATCCTAGTAGAAAGATTTTACTGTCTTCTAGGATCCATGCCAGTATGTTAAATGCTGTACTTTAGGAGAGTGTTTCCAAAACAATAAATACCCCCCATCCCATGTTGTGTTCCTCTATTCTATCTCATGATCAGGTTCTCAGAACTCAGTCCCTTGTGTACTTCCCTGATGCCAGCAGTAACTGCTGGCTAGGACCAAATCTTTTTTGGAGTATAGTTTCCTTACTGCTTTATAAAGTCCATCACATCCCTGTCTCTATTATTCTGTGCCTTTTCTCTATTTTCAGCTAGTGGCCACGAAGGATAGCGAGAAGATACTGATGAGAATACACTTCGTGTTATGAAGAGGGACGGGGGAGGAATCAGATCTAAGCCATTCTATAGGTTCAATAGACTCAAAGAAGCCTGGAGCCTCAAAATTAGGGTAGTCATATTTTCAATTGTCTCCATCCCAAGGGTAGGTCCCATTCTTCTCCCAATTGGAACCCCAAACCTGAAAAATATACCTGATAAGGAATTCAAACTTATATAGAGTTTAACTTCTCAATTAAGTCTTCCTCATCTCTCTCTAACCTCTTTTTTAAAAGATGAGGGGCTCTTTATAAGTTAGCAGAGGCCCTCTAGACTCACGCTTTGCTTTCAAATGCATGCCCTTTTGTTATATTTTCCTAAGTTCAATGGTATTTGGCAATAGCCATTTAATGCCATTACCCTTAAAGTTACTATTTGCCCCATTAATTTCAATTGTACCAGCTAATGTATTCTCTCTTACAAGTATACTATCCCAATCTGCTGAGAGAGTATATTATCAACTTCCACCAGTGATGAGGTGCTCACTGATAGCCTGGCAGAGAGTGATTTGGATTTGAAAACTCATCTTTCAGTCTGTATTTACTCACTCCACTCTCATTACCAACTGTTAGTAGTTGGGACATCTAGGAGCTGACATCTAATTGAGGCATACGATGAAGGCTATTTATTAAAGATCAGAATATTTGGAAATGGGAAGGAAGCTGGATGGAGCAGAGGAGAATTCAAACTGGGATGCAAATCCAACAAGTTCTTGAACAGACTAATAGGTAGCTGTGTGGTATAAATAACCTGCCAGTGTGTGTTTGATTGGGCCAAAAGAGGCAGACTTTTGTATAAAACCCCCACCTCACGTAATCATTGCATGTGTGCTGGCTTGAGAAGTGTGTGCCTTTGGGCAAAAGCTCTCTTTGCAGTTGAGGCAAATTCTGGAAGAGCTGATAGCTGAAGACTACTTGATGACAGATGGCGGTATTTTCCTTATTCACTACCTTGATTTTCTTTTAGCATTCTATTTTTATTGTTTTAAATGCAAAGAACACAGCTATAGGTTTTATATTTCTTTTGTTTTACTGTCTTTTTCTCTTAGTCATTAAGCTCCATGAGTACAATAATCATATGGCAATGTCCATCTGGTTGAATATTGCAGGCTCTTTGCATTTAGACACTCGATGTATAATTTTGATTAAGCAAATCTACTTATATTTCAACATTTCTTTAAAAGTTTAAATTTACTTAATAAAAGAATGCAAACTTAATGTAACTACTTGTTAGTTAACATGTCCCATATAATATACCACCTGTGGTTTTTGGTAACAGAAGAAAAATGCCTGCAAGTAAAAAGCTAAGTAAATGAATCAAGGAGAAAATGGGAAATGAATGAATTAGGGGATGAACAAAACACTGCATCAGAGGATGAAATTTTTGATGCATTCATACTAGTTTTTTGGAGATCCTAGAACATATATTATAGGAATATACATTTTGCTAAACATTCTGTTGCAATCAGAACTCATCTGACAAAGGGCTAATATCCAGAATCTACAATGAACTCAAACAAATTTACAAGAAAAAAACAAACAACCCCATCAAAAAGTGGGTGAAGGATATGAACAGACATTTCTCAAAAGAAGACATTTATGCAGCCAAAAAACACATGAAAAAATGCTCATCATCACTGGCCATCAGAGAAATGCAAATCAAACCCACAATGAGATACCATCTCACACCAGTTAGAATGGCGATCATTAAAAAGTCAGGAAAAAACAGGTGCTGGAGAGGATGTGGAGAAATAGGAACACTTTTACACTGTTGGTGGGACTGTAAACTAGTTCAACCATTGTGGAAGTCAGTGTGGTGATTCCTCAGGGATCTAGAACTAGAAATACCATTTGACACAGCCATCCCATTACTGGGTATATACCCAAAGGATTATAAATCATGCTGCTATAAAGACACATGCACACGCATGTTTATAGTGGCACTATTCACAATAGCAAAGACTTGGAACCAACCTAAATGTCCAACAATGATGGACTGGATTAAGAAAATGTGGCACATATACACCATGGAATACTATGCAGCCATAAAAAATGATGAGTTCATGTCCTTTGTAGGGACACGGATGAAACTGGAAACCATCATTCTCAGCAAACTATGGCAAGGACAAAAAACCAAACACCACATGTTCTCACTCATAGGTGGAAATTGAACAATGAGAACACATGGACACAGGAAGGGGAACATCACACACTGGGGACTGTTGTGGGGTGGGGGGAGGGGGGAGGGATAGCATTAGGAGATATACCTAATGCTAAATGACGAGTTACTGGGTGCAGCACACCAACATGGCACATGTATACATATATAACAAACCTGCATGTTGTGCACATGTACCCTAAAACTTAAAGTATAATAATAATAAAATTTAAAAAAAAGAGTATAATAATAATAAAATTTAAAAAAAACAAAAAAGAACTCAAAAAAGATGTCATGTGTCAAGTAAATGAATTCTAGGTTGAAGTTTTTTTTAATTAAAAAATAAAAGAATATATTGTAGACGCTACTTAATGAACCTTACAGAAAGTATTATTTAATTTTACCTTTAAGAGATATTTTAAACCCTGCTTAAAAATAACAATACTATTCAAACAGAAATAAGTATTAAAAAAACAAAACACACACACATAAAAAGTAGCATTCTAGAAAAATAGCACACAGAAAATAGAACTGACTTGTGATTTAAGAAATCATAGTTCTGCAGCTTTTGTTGAATTTCGTTTAAGCCTCCTAATCTGAAATTTATTACTCAAATAATTAGGAAGACAAGATGGACCATATACAATGTAATTTGGTACAAATTATATTCCTGAGCTTACCACTGGGCAAATAAACCACCTTTACTCAACTAGAAAATAATTATATATATATGCATTTCACTGGGTAATTTTGATCTGTTTCTATTATTTTAATTTCTCTAAAAATACAAAATTATATTTGGATATTATGAATAATTGCTCACCAGAAAAGCAAGAATATATGCACAAGTCTTATTAAAATTACTCTCAAAGCTGTTTGAAAAACAAAACATAAAAATGAATTTTGATCAGGTGGCTTAAGACCACCATTATCTTAGCAGTTATTCCTCAGTTAGGAAATATGATTATTTTTAAATGAAATTCACTCTGAGCCTTGTAAGTTTCATGCCATTAAAATTAAATCATGAATGTGGGTAGTAATAGGAAATTATATAAATTTTAGAATCTACTGATTTTAATGTTTATATAAATGATGAGCTGTAAATATGGATTTTTGCCCAGCTAGCTAATCATCAAAAACAAAAATCAAACCACAATAAAAATAATGTATGGTCTTTTTCTTGGAAAACCTCAGATACTCTTAAAAAACTACTCTTCTTTAACTAAAATTTAATTTTTATTAATCTTGTGGTTCAGTTTCTTCCACTTCTAGAGTTGTGTGGTACATAATGTACTCTACAGAGAGATGCAAATGTAAGGTAAAATAAATACGAAAGAAAGAGCAATACCTTTTCCAAATATCTTGGCACACTGGTTATCAGTAGTTTGACATTGTCCGTTATAGCAATAGGCAGTTCCCAACTTGCACAAACGGCCATTCAATGCATAAGTGTCAGGAACACAATTACTAGAGGTTCCATTGCAGTACTCTGTAAAATCACACTCTGGATCAATACTCTTTCTACATGGAGTGCCTGCTATTGACAACTGGGAGGAAAAGGAAAAATAAAATTAAGTTCTGTAAATCATTTTTCTCAATTGCTTAGTGAAAAGATTTATCACATAAAATGTTTCTAATTATTGATATTTGAGGGAACACCAGAGTTCCCAAGTCCGTGAGTTTGCCAAAAAAAATCAAATACAGTATTCATTGTGAAGCCCAGAGAAAACTGTCTCAAAGACGTGAAAGAATTCCTTTTGACAGTGAGTTTGCAGCTGCTCACCTCCTTTGTGCTCTACATTTTGAAATAAGCTGACTCAAACAGCATTAGATTAAACATACCTGTTCCTTGGAACTATAGGAACACTGTCTCTACCTTTTTGTTCTTGGAGAAACTCAGGAGCCAGACTTCCTGGTTTCAGTCCCAGTCTCTCACTCTTACTACCTTATTTGTATGGGTGAGAAACACAATCTATCTGTTTTACTTTTGTAAGCTTGGAATAAAAGACAAATTCTCATAGAGTTCTTATTAGTATTGAACAGGAGTAATGGAAAAAGTTCTTAGAACAATACATAGTAAGCAGTGCAGTGTGCATATATGATAGCTATCATCATATCAGCATCTTTTTTTTTTTTTTTTTTTGAGATGGAGTTTTGCTCTTTTGCTCAGGCTGGAGTGAAGTGGCATGATCTCAGTTCACTTCAACTGCCATCCCCCAGGTTCAAGCAATTCTCCTGCCTCAGCCTCCCGAGTAGCTAGGATTATAGGTACATGCCACCACGCCTGGCTAATTTTTGTATTTTTAGTAAAGACAGGGTTTCACCATGTTAGTCAGGCTGGTCTCAAACTCCTGACCTCAGGTGATCCACCCACCTTGGCCTCCCAAAGTGCTGGGATTACAGGCATGAGCCACCGCGCCAAGTCTTGAGCCACCACACCTGGCCTCATTTTTATATGTTTATTATTATCTAAGAGCATAAACGCCTCCTTGCATCACTTAGGTGAGGTGTACAGTTATTGCCAAAATTTTGTGGTGGCCTGACCTAATAGATTGCCATCCATAGTGAAGTTCACCATGTTGAAATGCTGTCCTGCTATATATGTTGATGTCACACACATGCACACAAACACACACACAAACACACACACAAAATACAATCCAGTTTGATGAAATTAATACTTCATACGGTTTGGCTGTGTCCCCACCCAAATCTAATCTTGAATTGTAGCTCCCATAATTCCCACATGTGATGGGAGGCACCCGGTGGGAGATAATTCAATCAGGGGGCAGGTCTTTCCTGTGCTATTCTCATGATAGTGAATAGGTCTCACAAGATCTGATGGTTTTATAAAAAGCAGTTTCCCTGCACAAGCTCTCTTCTCTTGTCTGCCGCCATGTGAGATGTGCCTTTCACCTTCCACCATGATTGTGAGGCCTTCCCAGCCATGAGGAGCTGCGAGTCCATTAAACTTCTTTCTTTTGTAAATTTCCCAGTCTCAGGTGTGCCTTTATCAGCAGCATGAAAACCAACTAATACAATATTCAATAATGAAACAAAGATGCATAATAAATAAAAGAAATGGTAACTTAAAAGTGATGAAATTTAAAAACAACTTTTTCAACTTAGAATTCCATACCCTGTAACTATATATTTCAAAAAAGGATGAGACACAAAGACTTTCCTAGACAAAAAATAACTGAGTAGCCAGGCGTGGTGGCTAACATCTGTAATCCCAGCATTTTGGGAGGCCTAGGGGGATAGATTGCTTGAGCTCAGAAGTTCAAGGACAGCCTGGGAAACATGGTGGAATACCCCATCTCTACAAAAAATACAAAAATTAGCTGGGCATGGTGGTGTGTGCCTGTAGTCCTAGCTACTTGGGAGGCTGAGGTGGAAGGATGGCTTCAGCCCAGGAGGTGGAGGTTGCAGCTAGCAGAGATAGTGCCACTGCACTCCAGTCTGGGCAGCAGAGCCAGACCCTGTCTCAAACAAACAAACAAAAAAAACTGAGATAATTTATTTTCAGAGGACATAAATGACAAGAAATAGTAAAGGGAGGTCTTCAGGTACAAGAAATATGATAGTAAACAGAAATCTGCAAAAGAAAATAGACCTCTGAAATGAAACAAATGATGTTAATTCATTTAATTTTTTTTCTTCTTTTATTTACTCTAAAAGATAAAAGACTATACAGCAAAAATAGTAAAAACATATTTTGTTTTTATGGTATATGATCATGTTCTATTATAAGAATTATTCACTACACATGAAATGAAATATGAAATTAGCCTGATTAATTAATGATTCATAAAGCAATGGTTAATCAGTAATTTATAATCAATAATTTGTATGGATCAATGATTTAAATGATTTTTAAAAGGTACAAATAACAAATCAGTAGCAAAGATAACACAAAACCATATATTTTATAGTTTTAGTGTTTACATTCAATTTACAAAGCAACCGTAAGTCTCATAAGTGTCTGGTGGGAACTCAAGATAGTACAGTTGCTTTGAAAGACTGTTTTTCAATTTCCTATAAAGTTCCATATTTACCATATGATCCAGCAATCCCTCTCCTAGGTATCTAGCTAAGTGAAATGAAACACTATGTTCATGCACAAATATGCTTATGAATATTAAAGTAGCCATATTTTCATCACCAAAAATGGAAAACAGCCAAAATATCCCTCAACTGGGGAATGGATGAATGAACTGTGGTACATCCTTACAATCCTTGCAATACTACTAATATGCAGTCACTATAAAGGAATGATCTGCTAATAAACATAAGAACATGAATGTATCTCAAATACATTATGTTAAGATGCCTGCTTCACATTTGCACATATTGTATGATTCAATTTATGTGATAATTTTGCAAAAGCATAATTACAGCTTCAGAAAACAGATCAGTGGTTACCAGGGGCTGCGGGTGGAGTCATGGACTGAGTATAAAGAGGCACAGGGAAATGTGAGAGAGGAGTGATGACATCACCTATCCTTTTTATGATGCTAGTTATAAGCTTAAATATGTTTCTTCTGACACTTGGGAATATTCACTAACAGAATTTTAGTATATTAAATTATACATTAATAGCTAAATTCAACAAAAAAAATACATAGAATATTTACATAGAGGTGATTTACCAGAATTGGAATAATAAAATATCTTGCTACTAAGGAACTTGTTTTCTTATCCAAATGTGTGTCTTGGACATAATACTATATTACTGCATTAATATTTAGTCCATATTTACTAACTCTTGTACAATATATAATTATGTAATCATTCCAATATCAATAAATACTGTTCATTTCAATTGTATGTGTATGATTTGCATTTCAGTTATCAATGAGAGTTCTTTACACATTCTATATGCTGCATATTTTGTCTGCTATTCATGCTACAATTTTTTCCATAATCATTCATCATTTATTTGACTTTATAATTTATTTGAGAGTTAATAACTTTTTGGATGTAGTAATGTGTGTTTTTTCTCCCTTTTATCTGATAATTTAGAAGATGGTAAACTTTGTGATTTTAACACTAAAGAATAGAATCATCACTCAGAATCCATGGGCATTTGGTTCCAGGAACCCTCAGGCATATTAAATCTATGGGCACTCAAGTCCTTTACATAATATCTTGTAACATTTGTATATAACTTACACACATCTTCTCATATATTTTTATTATCTCTGTATTACTTATATTACCTAATACAATATAAATGCTATGTAAATAGTTATACTGTATTGTTTAGGGAATAAAGACAAAAATAAAAATAAACTCTGGCATATCTTTACAATATTTGCAATACTATTCAGCAACAAAAAGGAATTATTTGCTAATAGACACAACAGGAATAAATCTCACATGCATCATGCTAATGCACCTAATTCATGTTTGCACGTATTAAGTGGTTCAGTATGTGGAGCCCATGCATATAGTAACTGCAACCGTACCTGTCTGAGATGACTTTTATATTTTATAGCAATTTTCCTTTAAACTTGTGTTTGTTCATGCACTCTACATTTTATTTCACTAAATTCCTTATATATTCTTTTTATTAATTGCACATTGATTCAGTTAATACAGACGTCTCTTACCACAGTTCAATTTGCTTTTAATGAATGTTAGTAACTTACCTCACACTTTGATGTACAACATGGTCCAGAACCACATTTTACTGAGCCCTTCAGTTTACATGTGTTATAATCACAGCACTTCTTAAATTGACATTCCTAAAATTTTACAGGAAGAAATATTATTACAGTTTAACCACTTAAAAGCTCTTGTTTCTTAATCTCAATTTCAATTTAATATTCTGTTGTGTACAAACTTGTAGTTATACAATATAATTGTATAATTCCAATGAAGCTGTATTAGTTTACCATTTCTTTTCTTCTTCTTTTTTTTTTTTTTTTTTTTTTTTTTTTTGAGACAGGATTTCACTCTGTCACCCAGGCTGGAATGCAGTGGTGTGATCATGACACACTGCAGCCTCAACCAGTGAGATCCAAGTGATCCTCCCACCCCAGCCTCCTGAGTAGCTGGGACCAGAGGTGTAAGCAATCATGCCCAGATATTTTTTTTCTTTTTTTTTTTTTTTTGTAAAGACTAGGTGTCACTATCTTGCCCAGGCTGGTCTCAAACTCCTTAGTTCAAATGATCCTCCTGCCTCAGCCTCACAAAGTGCTAGGATTACAGGAGTTAGCCACCATGCCAGACCCTATTTTACTATTTCTAGAATAGCCACAGGTACATGCAAGTGTAAGAACTGCAGAAATAACATCTAAAATAGCAGTTGGTCAGCAATATTCATCAGCTAAAATATTTCATAATTAACTCGTAAGTTACCAACACCAAAACATATCCTTGGGGGAATGAAAAGGTGGTTTTTAGGAGAAACAAACTTTTCTCAAGGGTCTCATGGGTGATTTGTTTACTAAGGATTCCAATTGTAAATAAAGTTAGAGTGAGGCAGTAAGTAGAATAAAAATGTACTTAGTATATATTTATGTACCATGTTTTACTATAATAGAAATCAACAAAAAAAGACTATACCTATTATTTTTAAAAAGTAAATGGCAGTCAATTATTATTCAAATAGGGGCTGGGTGCAGTGGCTCACGCCTGTAATCCCAGCACTTTGGGAGGCCAAGGTGGGCAGATCACTTGAGGTCAGGAGTTCAAGACCAGCCTGGCCAACATGGTGAAACCCCACCTTTACTAAAAATACAAAAATTAGCCAGGCGTGGTGGTGTGTGCCTGTAATCCCAGCTACTCAGGACGCTGAGGCAAGAGACTCGCTTAAACCTGGGAGGCAGAGGTTGCAGTGAGCCAAGGTCATGCCACTGCACTCCAGCCTGGGTGACAGAGTGAGACTACATCTCAAATAAATAAACAAATAAATTAGGTAATAACTTTAAAGAATCTTAAAAAACAAATATTATTTGTATGTAAATAACACTGCATTTACACCATATTTTTATATTCTTAACTCTTTTATTAAACAATTTTATTTACTCAGAGATCTAGTTTCAAAGATCTTGTCCTTTAATATAAAGGCAGGATTCTTCTTAATTTTGAAATTTCCATTTGTTCACACTTTTTCATATGTATGCATGTAAATGGACGTATGCTTATACAATCAAATAATATATAAAATATAGAGCAGAAGTTGAAATTGTAATTACATACTCCAGATTCTCTAGGGGTAATCACATTGTATAATTTACTGTTTAACCTTCCAAAGTTAAATAATGCTGTATAAATGTATGTGTGTGTATATATTCTTTCACTAGTAATTAATGAAGACGCTCTCCCTGTACCACAATACTTAGCAGTACTAATTATGACCAATCATTTTAATTTGTAACAAGGAATGGAAAAACTGATCTCAAAGCTCTCATTATTACTTCTCTGATTACCAGTGAGTTTGTGCATAAATTTGCATTTGTGCAATTTTATTTATGAATTAAATAATCATATATTTTGACCATTTTGCATAGCAGAGCTTTTTTCTTTCCCTGTTCCTATTAGATAACAGAAACAGATTTTATATGATATCTGGTTGCCTTTATATATATATAAAATATATATATATAAAATAAGCCTAATTTGTAACACTACGGATATGTTCTAGGTAGTCTTTGTCGAAAGGGCATTGACACCTGTATCTTCATAAATATCCTCCATTTTTCACAAATGGAAGCTCTGTTTTGTACCCACTCACCCATACAAATGTGGCTGCATGCACCTTATTTGTACCTGTGTTCACATGTATCACTGCTAATAAATATTTGAACAAATATTTCACAGCATATAGAGGGATACATTTTACAAAAAGTAAAGCTATAAGCCTTAAAATTAGCAATAAAATATAAGAATAAAGTACTGATACTGTTTTATAGTCTTGGCATGGTGGAGGTCTTGATAATCAATACATAAAACCCAATAGTCCTAAAGGAACAAGAATATTACAAATTACTCAAATTGATAGGCACCATTAACAGACCAATTAGAGACTGCAAAGAAACATTATAAAAATATAGAAAAGAGAGGCTGGGAATGGTGGCTCACGCCTGTAATCTCAGCACTTTGGGAGGCTGAGGAAGGCGGATCACGAGGTCAGGAGATAGAGACCATCCTGGCTAACACGGTGAAACCCCAACTCTACCAAAAATACAAAAAAAAAAAAAAAAAAAAAAAAAAAATTTGCCGGGTGTGGTGGTGGGCGCCTGTAGTCCCAGCTACTTGGGAGGCTGAGGCAGGAGAATGGCGTGAACCCAGGAGGCGGAGCCTGCAGTGAGCCGATATCGCACCACTGCACTCCAGCCTGGGCGACAAACCGAGACTCCCTCAAAAAAAAAAAAAAAAAAGAAGAAGAAGAAACAGTTGTTTTTTGGTTTTTTTTTTATTTGAGTATGGTCATATAGGCATCCTGATCATGTACTTAAATGATCAATCACAGTAACCAAAATTCTAGAATCCCAAAAGGAAGCAGGTATCTACCATAAATTAAATTGTTCAACATCACAGTCTGGGAAAGCAAACCAACATTATCACCTATGGAACATTTAAAACTTCAACTTCTCAGACCTGAACTGAAGGCCAACCTTAGAAGCAGGTCTTTCTAAAGATGGCAACTTCAGGGCTGGTACGTTAACTCTGTTTCTGCACAATATTGCATTAATATTGCACAGATTATAAATGTTTGCATTTGCTATTATTGATTAGAATTACTACTTTTTAATGCTTATTTTATATTTTCCTAATTACAGGACTGGAATGTTCATATTATTCTTTTAAAACAGCTTTTCCAGTACTTTCTTGTTAATTTTCTGTCTGGTTGATATGTCCATTGTTGAAAGTGGAGTATTAAAATCCTCTCCTATTATACTGTATTGCCATCTATTTCTCCTTTAATGTCTGTTAATATTTACCTTATATACTTAGGTACTTCAGTATTGGATGCATTTATAATTGTTATGTATTCTTGATGAATTATACCATTTTCATTAAGTATTTTGTTGTTTCTTGTGACTGTTTTCCACTTGAAGTCTACTTTATCTGTTATTAATATAGCTGTCCCTGTTCTTTTTCGGTTACTATGTGCATGAAATATAGTCTTGCATTCCTTTACTTTCAGCCTATGTGGGTCCTTAAAGCTAAAGCTAGGCTCCTGGATGTAGCATATAATTTAATCTTTTTAAAAAATCCATTCAGCCACTCTGTGTCTTCTGATTCAATAATCGAATCCATTTATAGTCAAAGTAACTATTTATAGGCAAGAATTGACTACTGCCATTTTTTTAGTTGTTATTTGGTTGTTTTGTAGATCTTTTGTTCTTTTCTTCTTCTCTTGTTGTTTATCCTTGTGATTTGGTGATTTTCTTTTGTGTTAAGTTTTACTTCCTTTCTCATTTGTGCACCTGCCATAGTTTTTTGCGTTGTGGTTATCATAAGGCTTACATAAAATATCTTATAGTTAAAATAAATTATTGTATACTGATAAAAACTTCAGTCACATACAAAAACTCAAGACTTCACCTCTCCCCCCAGTTTAAATGTCTTTAAAAATAAAGCATTTCTTTTTCTTTGCAGATGGATTGTCAGGGACAATGTGTTTTAGGTTAATATCCAGCTTTATTATGTTGTGGGAATACACGTTTATTTTCAGATTTTTTGGTATCTATAATTATTTTCAGCATGATCTAATGCATGACTGATTTTTAAAATAACCCATGGAATTTTGAAAATTATGTGTATTCTTTTTTTGATTATGAAGTTCCCTTGCTATTAGATATGCTTTTTAGTGACTGTTGTTAATTACTGATAATTTATTAGTTGTTTGATAGCCTGAAAGAGGTATATTAAAGCCTTATGAACTATGGATACGTGCATGGTCCATGTATTTTGTTTTATATATTTCAGGGTGCATATTCTATGGATGGATATGTGCATATTCCACGTATTTTGTTTTACATATTTCAGAGACATCTCATTGATTATATTAAGTTCACTATCTTGCCCATCTTCTTAGTTTTTACATTTTTAGTAATTGCTATTGCTTATATACTGTTCAATGTTTATAATTTGGTTTTCTTTCATAATATATCACACACATACTTGCTTTTTTGTGTATTTGCTTGTTTTTTTTTTAAATTATTCATTCCAGTACTAGGGGATCCTTAGAAAATATGTTTGAAAATTAAGATTTCGTAGGTAATTTTCCATGTAAAAATCCAATCAATTATTTTAGCTATCAAACAACTAATCAATTATCAGATAATGTATAACAACAGTCACTAAAAAGCATAATCTAATAGCAAGGGAACTTTATAATGAAAAAAGAATATATGTAATTTTCAAAATTCCATGGGTTATTTTAAAAATCAGTCATGCATTCATGCATTATAATTGTCTCAAATTTCCCTGAAGGCATTCTATATTAAGACTTAGACATTCTCATTCCCCAAAACTATTTTAAATGTTTTCTAGCAAGAGATCAAGTTGGAAATGTGAAGTGTTCTTTACATTTATTATTCATCTTGTTCTCAATTTTGAAAAATATATTATTTTAAAATGTTGATTAGAGAATATAGGAAGTACTCCTCTCCACAACTCAAATAAGAAAAGTTGTAATAGCACATCTGCCCTCCAACATTCAGGTTATAATGAAGAGGGGCATGTACGGTACTCTCCAGAAGCATTATTCCATTTTCAACCCTCCCTAATGCAGTGTTATTTTTACTTAGATTTCTGGGAAAGAAATCTCAGCAGTGGTAAACTAAGAAACCAGCGTAAACAACCTACTTATTACTTAGTGTAACTGTGTTTTTTTCCTCTTACTGCTGTAACCTTTAACAGGTTACCACAAACTTAGCGGTTTAAAACCATGCAAACATACGATCTAAACTTCTGTAGTGTAGAAGTCCAATGAGCTAAAAATCAAGGTGTTGGTGGGCTTGCGTTCTTTTCTGGAAGCTTTCTGGTAGAATCTATTTTCCTGCCTTTTTCAGCTCATAGAAGGCCACTCAAATTCCTCGGCTCATGTTTTTTTCCTCTATCTTTAAAGCCAGTAAAGGGAAGTCAAATTCTTGTCATAGCACATCACTATCAGCTTTTCTTCTCCTTCTTCTTCTGCTTTAAAAAATCTGAGCAATTGGATGCATCTGAATAATGTGGTATATTGTCTCCATCACAAGGTCTTTAACTTAATCACACCTGCGAAGTTCCTTTTGCCATGTGAAATAGCATGCACACAGGTTCAAGGATGAGATGGGGGCAACTTTGAGAGGATGATATTCTGCCTACCACAATTATATTAATAAAACAATTTAAGGAATTTGCCATAGATTCTTTTAAGTTCTTTTTCTTTGATTTATAAATGTTTCATTTCACTCAGTTAATAAAAAGCAACAAATTATTAATTTGCATCAGCAGGAGTGCCATTGGTAATCTCAGCTCAAAGATTCCCGAAACAATTCCCTATGTGTTTTGATTACTGTAGATATGGAAATGTAGAGAGCATACAGCTGGATATTTTATAATACAATATAATTCTCATTTAATAGGAAAATATAACCTTTTAACAGTTATGTCTATTCCTGACATGTTATGTTCTTACTATGACATCATTATATTTTTAATATTTATGAGGTATCATAGGTTTTTTGTTTTGCTTTTCCTTTCTTCTCATTTTTAAGACTATAAAGGCTTTGTTCTTTCACGTCTTTTTCATTCAAAATACAATTTCCAATATATTACTTTTTAGATGTACTGTTTACCTTTAAAATGAACGTATCTAAAGTTATATGTTGAATACACTTCTAGAAGAGATTGACATTTCCCCAAAACAACATGAATAGTGTCATCAAGTCTTGAGATGTTCCCTTTAACCCCTTTTTAGTAACTAGGCCAGGCACTGTGGCTCACGTCTGTAATCCCAGCACTTTGGGAAGCCAAAGCGGGTGGATCACTTGAGGCCAGGAGTTCAAAACCAGCCTGGGCAACATAGCAAAATCTCATCTGTACCAAAAATAAAAGAAAAAACTAGCCAGGCATGGTGGTGGGCACCTGTAATCCTGGCTACTCGGGAGGCTGAGGCAGGAGAATCTCTTGAACCTGGGAGGCAGAGGTTAGAGTGAGCTGACATCAAGCCACTGCACTCCAGCCTGGATGATAAAAGCAAGGCTGTCTCAAAAAACAAAAACAAACAAACAAACAAAGACCTTTTTAGTGACTACTAACCAATAAAAGGAAATGTGATCTTGACTTTTAACAGTCTATAATAGTTTTATTTTTTTAACTTACTATAATTTTCTTGGCCTTGGTTATCTTGCTCAAAATAATGTTTATTGAATTCAACCACTTTGTTTTGTGCAGCATACTTTATTTTATGATTATAGCACAATTTGTTTTTCATTTTGCTGAAGAAGAATATTTGGGCTATTTCTCTGCTTTCTTTTCTTTGCTATTATGATATGAATGTTTTATGTTTTATATATACCTGAGACTGAAATTCTGGATCACATTTATGTATGTGTTCAACTTTACAATAAAATAGCACTTTTCACTTGTGCCAATTTTCACTACCAACAGTAGTGCCTAATAGCTACTTATCCTCACCAATTTTTTTCTTTTTCGCCATTCTGATGGTGTTTTGTTGTTTTCAAATTATGCTTTTGATCTGCATTTTGGGATGCTGAGCATCGATTCACAAATTTATTAGCGATTAGTAAATCCACTTTGAAAGTTTCTGTTTAAGAATTAGGTCAATTCTTTTCTCTGAAAGTCTGTCATTTTCTTATTGATTTATATGTATTCTTTATCTGAGTACATATCTCCTGTCACATTTATGTGGAGAAAACAATCTCCTATTGTATAATCTACCCTTTAAATCTCTTATCTGATATTTTATTTTATCAACATCTAATTTGTAAATATTAGGTAATATTGACATTTAGAGAAAATTATTAGACTACATATTCGCTTATGTTTTACACTTTGTTTTGTGTTTTTTTACCTTTACACATTTATCAACAATATATCTGAAATTAGGTTCTATATATAAACCAAATAGGTAAAGACTATTTCTTATGTATATTGAATTGTCCCAGCGTCATTTTTTGTAAAGGCATCCTTTCTACACTGCATTCCTCTGTCCTTTTTGTCACAAAACAGTAATGATATTTATGTAGGTCTATTCTAGATTCCATTCTGTTTCATTTGTCTGTGTCTGTCCAGGCACATATACCATACTGCCTTAATAACTATAATTTTATAATGAAAATAGATTTATGAAAATTTCAGTGGACCAAATTTGTTTTTTTTTTCAAGATCACCTTGGCTAGCTTTGTGCCTTTCATGTTTCCATTTAAACTTGAAAATCAGCTTGTCTATTTACATATACCAACACATATGCAAACACAATTCCTGCTAGCATATGAATTGGAATTGCACTTCGGGATGATGAATTTGGACAAAAAATTACATCTTAGCAATATTAATTCCTCTAATTTTAAAACATGACATATCCTTGCATTGATTAAGTAGTCCCATAATTTTTCTCCTAATGATTTGCAGTTTTATATTTAGTAGTCTTATACATGTTTTATTATATATATTCCTAAGTATTTCATGTTCCTGGGTATTATTGTAGATGCTGTTGTTTTAAATTTTTTTCTTCTAGTCATTTATAAAGAAATATTTGATTTTTATGAATTGACTATGTAACAAGTGACCTCGATAAATTCATTTATACGTGCAAATAATTTATTTCTAGATTATTTTGGGTTTTCATGCATACAATGATATGATTATAAATAATGAAATCTAAATTTCCTCTCTTCCAACTATTATGCATTTTCTTTTTGTTGCTTTGGTGGCTAGTTTATCACATTCAATAATAAGTGTGAAAGATGACAACAGATATCACTGCCTCATTTCTGACCTCAGTGAGAACAACTGTTATGCATGATGTTAACTGTAGATTTTACAGATACCCTTTCTTAAATATAGTGAGTTTCCCTCTTTTCCTTTTTTTCTCAAAATTTATTATCTATCCATTGAGATGATCACTTTTTTTACATTCTGTAAATAAACCACAATATCCCCAACAATAGAACATAATGTTACTGTTTATGTATATGTTGTATCATTATTTTCAATTTGTTAATCATTTAGTGAAGATTTTGTGTTCATGAGAAATATGGATATATCCAACAACATACACTGGGAAAAGAACAGTCTCTTTAATAAATGGCACTGGGAAAATGAAATATCTATATGCATGAGAATGAAACTAGATCTCCATCTTTCACCATTTACAAAAATTAACTAAAAGTGAGTTAAAGACTTAAATGTAATACCTGAAAATATGAAACTACCAGAAGAACACATTGTGGAAACACTACGGGAAATTGGGCTAAGTTTTTTTTTAAGCAAGACTAAAAGCAGAGGGAACAAAAGTAAAAATGGATGGGATTACATCAAGCTAAAAAGCTTCTGTACAGCAAATGAAACAATTAACAGAGTGAAGAGACAACCTAAAGAATGGGAGAAAATATTTGCCAATTACACATTTGATAATAGCTTAATATAAAAGCATATAAGGAACTCAAACAACCGAATAGCAAAAACCAAATAATCCAATTTAAAAATGGACAAAAATCCCCTGCACTTCTCAAAATAAGACATTCAAATGACAACAGATATATGAAGAAAACATTCATCAGTTATCATCAGGGACATACAAATCAAACCCACAATGAGATATCATCTCATCCTAGTTAGAATGGCTATTATCAAAATGACAGAAAATAACAAATGCTAATGTGGATGCTGAGAAAGGGAAACGCTTGCACATGTTAATGGAAATCTAAAGTATTATAGTTATTATGGAAAGTAGTATGAAGCTTCCTCAACAAACAAAAAATAGAACTACCACAGGATCCAGCAATCCCACTGCTGGATATACATCCAAAAGAGAGGAAATTAGTATACTCAAAAGATACCTGCACTCTCATGTCTATTGCAGCAAGCACTATTTACAATAGCCAAGGTGTGTAATCAACCTGAGCCCATCAACAAATGAATGGAAAAAGAAAACGTGGTTTATATACACAATAGAATATTATTCAGCCATAAAAAGAATGAAATCAGCCAGGTGCGGCGGCTCACGCCTGTAATCCCAGCACTTTGGGAGGCCAAGGCGGGTGGATCACAAGGTCAGGAGATCCAGCTACTCGGGAGGCTGAGGCAGGAGAATCGCGTGAACCTGGAAGGCGGAGCTTGCAGTGAGCTGAGATCGCGCCACTGCACTCCAGCCCTGGTGACTCAGCGAGACTCTGTCTCCAAAAAAAAAAAAAAAAAAAAGGAATGAAATCCTGTCAGTGGCAGCAACATGGATGTAACTGGAGGACATTATCTTAAGTGAAATAAGTCAGACACAAGAAGGCAAATATCACATGTTCTCAATCATGTGTGGAAGCATATAAAGTGGATCTCATGAAGGCAGAGAGTAGAATGGTTGTTACCAGAGGCTGGGAAGGGAAGTGGGATGAATAGAAGTTGGTTAATGGGTACAGAAATACAATTAAATAGAAAACATAAGTTCTAGTGTTCAATAGCACAATAAGTAAATTATAGTTTAAAATTATTTATTGCATATTTTAAAATAGCTAGAAGAGAAGAATTGTAACGTTCCCAACACAAAGAAAATATACCCCAGGTACCCTGATTTGAACATTTCACATTGTATACATGTATCAAAATATAACATGTACCCCCAAAATATGTACAACTATGATATATCAATTAAAAACACATAAAAACTATTCTTGAAATATCCTCATCAGATTTTTGCATCAAGATTATTTTATCCTCGAAGAAGTTAGGGCATATTAGGTTTTTTCCTAAGTCTAAAATCAGTAGAATTCCTTAACTTTTAAATAATTACTTGTAGAGTCATGTGGCATGAACTTCTCTCTGATGAGAGGTTGTGAAATTATGGATGTGATTTCTTTTAAGGCTATTTATTCACTTTTTTAATATTGACTTATGTTGGTGTTTATAAATACAATTTTAGGATAATTTGTCAATTTTATCTGATTGTTGTTTACTTATATAATGTACATGATATCATCTTACCATTTTTTAATATCTGTATAGATCTTTAGTGATATTTCAACTTTAATGACCATTATTGTTGTTTTTTTTAAAAATACATTTTTTAAAAAATCGACAAATAAAAATGTTATGTATTAATGATGTACAGCATGATGTTTTGATACATGTATACATTCTAAAGTGGCTAAATCAAGCTAATTAACACATGCGTTGACACACAAACTTCTGATTATTTTGTGGTAAAAACACTTAAAATCTACTTTCTTAGCAATTTTCAAGTATACAATCCATCTTTATTAACCATAGTCACCATGAACTTATGCCTCCTATCTCATTTAAATTCTGTATCCTTTGACCACCATCACCCCAGTTTCCCACTCCCAGCCCCTGGTAGCACCATTTTACTCCTTGCTGGTATGACTTTCACATTTTTAGATTCCACAATAAGTGAGAAGATGATGTATTTGTCTTTCTATGCCTGCCTTATTTCACTCAACATGTCCTCCAGGTTCATCCATGTTGTCACCAACTACAGGAATTTTTTCTTTTAAAAAAGTCTGAATAGTAGTCCATTGTGTATCTCTACCAGATTTTTAATCCATTCATTTATTGATAGACACTTAGGTTGATTCCTTGGCTATTGTACACAAGGCTGAAATTAAAATGAAAGTGCAGACATCTCTTCAACATACTGCTATTGTTTCCTGTGAATATATATCCAGTAATGGGATCACTGGATTATATGAAGTTCTAAGTTTTTGATGAACCTCCATACTGTTTTTGTAATGGCTGTACTAATTTATATTTCCATCATAGTGTGCAAAGGTTTCCTTTACTCCACACCCTTACCAACATCTGTTACCATTCATCTATTTTGATGATCGTATTCTGACAGGTGTGAGGTAATATCTCTTTCTGATTTTAATTTGAATTACTGTGATTATTAGTGATTTTGAGCATATTTTCATATACCTGTTGTCCATTTGTTTGTCTTATTTTGAGCAATGTCTATTCAGGTCCTTTGCCCATTTTTAACTGGATTGTTTTCCTGCTATTGAGTGGTTGGAGTTCTTTATATATTTTTATATTAACCTTTTATCAGATGTATAGTTTGCAAATATTTCCTCTAATTCCTTAAGTTCTCTCTTTACTTTGTTGACTGTTTCCTTTGTTGTGTAGAAGCTTTTTAGTTAGATATAATTCCATTTCTATATTTTTGCTTTTGCTGTCTGTGTTTTTGGTGTCATATTTATGAATCATTGCCAGATCCAATGTTGTGGAGCTTTTTCCTATATTTTCTTCTAATAATTTTATAGTTTCAGGTCTTAGTTTTAAGTCTTTAGTCCATTTTGCATTGGTTTTTTATATTTTGTGAGACAAGAGTCTAATTTTGTTCTTCTACATGTGAATATCCAGTTAGTAAACATCCTTTATTGTCACAAATCAATTGACTATAAATGTGTCCATTTATTTTTGGGCTCTTTGTTTCATTGATCTATGTGTTTTTATGTCATTATCATGCTGTTTTGATTACTATAGCTTTATAGTATATTTTGAAGTCAGGTATTGTGATGCCTCCAACTTTGCTCTTTTCACTCAGAATTGCTTGGGTTTTAAGGTCTTATGTGGTTTCTTATAAATTTTGTGGGGAAAAGAAAGACCAGACTGTTACTGTGTCTATGTAGAAAGAAGTAGGCATAAGAGACTCCATTTTGTTCTGTACTAAGAAAAATTCTTCTGCCTTGAGATGCTGTTAATCTGTAACCCTACCCCCAACCCTGTGCTCCCTGAAAACATGTGCTGTCAACTCAAGGTTAAATGGATTAAGGGCTGTGCAGGATGTGCTTTGTTAAACAAATGCTTGAAGGCAGAATGCTTGTTAAGAGTCATCACCACTCCCTAATCTCAAGTACCCAGAGACACAATACACTGCGGAAGGCCGCAGGGACCTCTGCCTAGGAAAGCCATGTATTGTCCAAGGTTTCTCTCCATGTAATAGTCTGAAATATGGCCTCGTGGGAAGGCAAAGACCTGAACGTCCCCCAGCCCGACACCCGTAAAGGGTCTGTGCTAAGGAGGATTAGTAAAAGAGGAAGGCCTTTTTGCAGTTGAGATAAGAGAAAGGCATCTGTCTCCTGCTGTCCCTGGGCAATGGAACGTCTTGGTGTAAAACCCGATTGTATATTCCATCTACTGAGATAGGAGAAAACTGCCTTAGGGCTGGAGGTGAGACATACTGGCGGCAATACTGCTCTTTAAGGCATTGAGATGTTTATGTATATACACATCAAAAGCACAGCACTTTTTTCTTTACCTTGTTTATGATGCAGAGACATTTGTTCACATGTTTTCCTGCTGACCCTCTCTCCACTCTTACCCTATTGTCCTGCCACATCCCCCTCTCTGAGAAACGCCCGATAATGATCAATAAATACTGAGGGAACTCAGAGACTGGTGCCAGCGCAGGTCCTCTGTATGCTGAGCACCAGTCCCCTGGGTCCACTTTTCTTTCTCTATACTTTGTCTCTGTGTCTCTTTCTTTTCTCAAGTCTCTCATTCCACCTGACAAGAAACGCCCACAGGTGTGGAGGGGGAGGCCACCCCTTCAAAATTGAAAATTGTTTCTCTATTTTCGTGCAAAATGTTATTGGGATTTTGATAGAGATTACATTGAACATGTAGATCACTTTAGCCACTATAGATATTTTAACAATATTAACTTTTCCAGCTCTTGAACATGGTTTATCTTTCCATTAATTTGTTTCCTTTCATTCCTGCAACAATGCTTTATAGTTTTCAGTATACAGATCTTTCATCACCTTGGTTAAATTTATTCCCAAGTATTTATTTTTTGTAGATATTGTAAATGAGACTGTGTTCTTGATTTCTTTTTCATACAGTTTGTTGTTAGTGTAGGAAGAGCTACTGATTTTTGTATATTGATTTTGTATCCTGCAACTTTACTGAATTTATTTATTAGTTGTAAATTTTTGTTGGACACTAGGGTTTTCTATATATATGATCAAGTCATCTGCAGAGACAATTTAACTTATTTTCTGAATTTGATACCTTTTATTTCTTAGTATTGCATAAGAAATTTTTTCTTCACTGCTATTAGTAGAAATTTATAACTTTATTTATTTTACAAAAAGCCTACAATTGGTTTTCAAAGTGACTGAATATAGAATCTGTGATAACTGTAATGGTGTTTCAGGGCCTCTGATGTCAGGAGTGTTATCACAGATTCTGTATAGAATCTTTCTGAAATGTCTTGGTTTTCATTTCATTTAACTTTCATATAGTTCAAATTACTCAATAAATTCCCTTTTGATTAACAAACGTTTTCTGTAAAAAATCAAATATTATTTCCAGACTTGCTTGTCATATAGTATCTGTTGCAACTATTTACCTCTGCTATTATAGCACAAAAGCAGCATGGACAACATTCAAACACATGGGCAAGGCTGTATTTCAATAAAACTTCATTTACAAGAAGAGGCGGGCGGCAGCTGGATTTAACCAACTGGCCACAGTTAAAGAACTATGATATAGAAAATGCCTCCGAGAATTTCCTCACAAGGAGAAAGGAATCTGGTACTCACCATCATAATTATCTGATGGCTGGTCATTAGTTTCCAAGCACATTGAGCCCACCCTGCTAATGGATGCACATACCACTGAGGTAACAGGAAGCACACTCCAGCAGAATGTCTCTGATATTTGAAACAAAAATACTGCCGGAACAGCAAATATAAAGGGAATACTGATGGGACACTGGCTATATCTGCTCTTAGTGTCAATCTGCCTACATTCTATAGTTGTAGAAACCCAAAATGTGAAAACCTAGCCCCAGATTGTGTTGCTTTATTTTATGATTCATAAAAAATAGCTAGTATTTATTGGCAGTAAATGATACCATATTTAGGGGTAGGAGACTGCAAGATGAGCACAGTACAGCTTATCAGAAAACTAAGACAGCATGGGAAAATATGAGATAATTGGAAACATATATATATATATACATGTATGTGTGTGTGTACTATATATGTACAACATACATTTAAGTGTGATATATGTGTGTGTATATACACATATAGAGATACACACAGCCTCATACATATAGGTTTTACCTTGTGAAATATAGGATGACTTAAAAGAATTGAGAGAATTTAATGGTATGTTAAAATGTGGTGACAGCTGTTTATGTAGGGAGGAGGAATTCGTGTAACTGTTGGGGGATAAATCATGAAGAAACTTTATTGAAATAGAGACAAATTGTTAAATATTATAAGATAATAACATTTAAAATAGATTAAGTATGTCATCTCACCTGTTGAAAATAATGTTCATTGAACATTTGATTGATGAAATTATAATCGGGTATATACATATATTTTAAAATGAATAAATAAAACAAATTTTGGTCATTCAAAAATTTGTAAATGCAGGAATGTCTGAGAAGGATTTAAAAACCTCATTATAATGTTTAGCAATTCTTGCAAGAACAAGAGATAGGGAAAAATTTGGATCACATTTAGTAAAAGTTTGTAGAGAAAATAGAGAATGAAGCCAAATGAGTTAGGAACTGAGATGTGTATAATAAAAAGGACTTCATTTAGCCAATATATTCAAAATCAATCTGCTGGCATGATTGGCAACAGTAATGCAAACCTAGTGTTAATGACAGACTTGCCTTCTCAGTTTAAGAGTTGTGGGAACGTGATTTATACATCTTAACTCATCCTGTTTCTCATATTTCAGTTATAAATTAATGGCATTGTTGCATATATCATTTATATATACCATGACAAACATGTCTTATGTTTTATCAGAAACATAAAAATTGTGCTCGAGTTTCAATCTTTGTTACTCACATTTTTATTACCACAGTCACATTCTTCATTGGATTCCAAAATCCCATTACCACACACTGGTTGATTTTGATGTAATGGTTGCAAATTTGAAAGCTTCTGAAGGCATTTAGTCTCAAATTTTGAAACAAAATATCTATAGTCGTGCATGCTGCAGTTGCTAAAAATCTTTCTACCACTGGCACTCCTAAAATAAAATAATATTCCTCAGGCAAATAAGCCTGGCTAATAAAACCACATCTAAACAACACTCCATACATAATCATGTAAATCACAAGATGGCCACCCCAAAATTTATACTTTAGCAGAGATTCAACCAAGGATAATTAAATTTTAATATTGCTTATCTTTAACATTCTCTTAAAAAATTGCATTAAAAACCTATTTTCTCATCAAGGTAATGCAATAAGGTATGGTGGTTAAATCTATGTATCTATATCTATGCATTTACATATCTCTATATCTAACCATCTATCTATTGTTCCCTCTGCATAGTGTGCTCTTCTGTTATATAGTTCAAGCTTTCTTCCTTCATTTTGTAGGGAAAAGAAAGAGAGATCAGACTGTTACTCTGTCTATGTAGAAAGAGAAGACATAAGAAATTCCATTTTGACCTGTACCTTAAACAATTGCTTTGCTGAGATGTTGTTAATTTGTAACTTTGCCCTAGCCACTTTGCCCCAACCTTGAGCTCACAAAAACATGTGCTGTATGGAATCAAGGTTTAAGGAATCTAGGGCTGTGCAGGACGTGCCTTGTTAACAAAATGTTTACAAGCAGTATGCTTGGTAAAAGTCATCGCCATTCTCTAGACTCAATAAACCAGGGGCACAATGCACTGCGGAAAGCCACAGGGACCTCTGCCCTGGAAAGCCGGGTATTGTCCAAGGTTTCTCCCCATGTGATAGTCTGAAATATGGCCTCGTGGGATGACAAAGACCTGACCGTCCCCCAGCCTGACACCCGTAAATGGTCTGTGCTGAGGTGGATTAGTAAAAGAGCCTCTTGCAGTTGAGATAGAGGAAGGCCACTGTCTCCTGCCTGCCCCTGGGAACTGAATGTCTCGGTATAAAACCCGATTGTACATTTGTTCAATTCTGAGATAGGAGAAAAACCGCCCTATGGCGGGAGGCGAGACATGTTGGCAGCTATGCTGCCTTGTTATTCTTTACTTCACTGAGATGTTTGGGAGGAGAGAAACATAAATCTGGCCTACGTGCACATCCAGGCATAGTACCTCTCCTTGAACTTAATTATGACATAGATTCTTTTGCTCAGATTTTTTTTTTTTTTTTTGCTGACTTTCTCCTTATTATCACTCTGCTCTCCTACCGCATTCCTCTTGCTGAGATAATGAAAATAATAATCAATAAAAACAGAGGGAACTCAGAGACCGGTGCCGGTGCAGGTCCTTGGTATACTGAGTGCCGGTCTCCTGGGCCCACTGTTTTTCTCTATACTTTGTCTCTGTGTCTTATTTCTTTTCTCAGTCTCTCGTCCCACCTGACGAGATATCCCACAGGTGTGGAGGGGCAGGCCACCCCTTCACATTTCAGTCAGATGTCTGCTCAAATGTTACCCTCCAGAGAGATCCTTCTTGACAACACTATCTTAAATTGTGCCCCCTCTTCATTCTCCTTCTACTTTCAATATTTTTCTATACAGCACTTTTGCATTATGTAAAAATAAGCTTCATTAATTTTTATTTTCAAAATTTCATCTCATATTACCTAAGTTTCACACTAAAATATAAGTCCCGGGGAGATCTTTATTTACATGTTCACATGTATATTTCCACTAGTATATCTAGGAGAAATGTCTAATAGATGCACAACACACATTTCAAATATACTGTATGTGATATTGAACTACTTATGACAACCATGTCTGTTCTCAGTTGCTGAATACTCCATTCTTTCAGTTGCTAAAGGCTGATAGCATTGGTGTGACCCTGGACTCTGTTCTTTCTCTCACCATCCATACCCAACACAAATACACATACACACTAGAATAGAACATAACCAATTAACAATTTTTATTTTGGTTACTTGTTAAAGTGATAATATTTTGGATCTATTGGGTTACATAAAATATATCATTAAAATATATTACCACAATTAATTTCACCTGATTATTTTAATTGTTTTAATTGTTTTTAATTATGTTTAATTAAAACATAAAATTATGTTTAATTTTCATTATGTTTAATTGCTTCTAGAAAATTTAAAATTACATATGTGACTCACATTTTATTTCTATTGGATAGCACCAAGGTAGACAATCATGTATTAGACAGCACTATAGCACTATGTTAGACAATCGTCTCAGATAGCAATACTTAAAGAGCAAAATCTGAGATGACAGAGGTTCTGGGTAGTCCTTTAAGCCTCCAAGGAAAGAAATGTATAGTTTCTAAAGTTTCAGAGTTGAAAGTTTAAGAGCAAAAAGAAATGCCTTAGCTTATTTTAACAGCCATTTGTTGTGGAACAAATATGAAAAAGTAAGAGGAATATTACACAGAATAATGTTATTTAATCAGATTGTCTCTATTATTTTAAAATACTTTGTTTTAATAGGAATAAGTATTACCATACTTTTGCAAGACACTCTCATGCAAAAAGCTACAAATACTGAGCACTAAAATCTCTTCACACAAAATTAGTGTATAAATAGATATGGACTCAGAAGTTATCTTCTACCTGGAGTATATAATTTCCAACAACTGAAAATTAAAAATATTGTTTACAAAATAAGACTTTTGTTTAAGATGGTTACAAAGCAACTAAGTTTTGAAACCTCTGCTTAAAAGTTGGGCATGACAAGAAAGAATATGAATGCGATGTCAGTGATGTGTATGTGTGTGCACAGACAAAGATATAGATCAATCTATAGTATATATCCCTAAGTATACATAATTTTTGTGTGATAACTTTACAAGCATGATGTAACTTTCTAGCCATTGATGTGGTGCCGAATATAAAAGTTTAAAAACATTATCACATTTTGGAAACAACCTTATAAAAATATAAATGAAATTAATTAAGAAAACATCTTACACTGCTTCATGATTCATGATGCATGTAGCTCTCAGACAGAAACACTGAGTGATGTCATCATATGTTAATCCTACATTAAGGCCAAGCAGTTGAGCTATAATAACCGAAAATCCCTCCAAACCTATTGCATCTGGATACTAAAATAAAAGACATGAAAAAGAAAATTATTATGTGTGAAAATAAAAGTAATAACTTGAAATATTTTTACTCCTATCATATTTTCTATTTTAATACTTCTTATGTTAAGCATACTTCACAACAATTATTTTGGTATGCCATTTATTTATCTGCCGTAATTTATTGATTAAGAAGCATGAAACAAGTAATCAAACTATGATAGTCTCTGGTTTTAAATTTTGCACGCCAAAATTCTATAGCTTTGAACAGGTGGTATTTCTGATACAATACAACATGTTTATTTCACTTTCTCATTGAATCAGTTCATCCAATGAATAGATATCAATTCAGTGTACTCATGTGTCAGGCATTATGATAGATGGTAGGAATACAGTGGCATGTATGAAAGAAAAGGACTTTGTTCACATCTATAGCTTATATTATAGAAAGAGAGAAAGACAACAGTAATCTGCAATAAACTTTCTATGTAAAAATAGATTGTTACACATGCTTTTAAGAAAATAAAGTACTCCAATAGAAAATTTTATGGAGGGGTATAAAATAAGGTAGTTAAGTAAGGTAGTTAGAACATCTTCTTTGTGAAATTTATATTTAGGCTGAGATACAAAGTATGGGAAATGACCCAACATTATGTATACGTATAGGGGGCTGGAATGTGGACCTACCGAAAAGTTGTGTATAATGACTAAAGTGAAGAAATGACAGGACAGAAGCCAGAGAGTCAGACACAATCACAGTAAAGAAATTTGGGCCAGGTGCAGTGGCTTAGGCCTCTAATCCCAGCGTTTTGAGAAGCCAAGGCAGTAGGACTGCTTGAGGCCAGGAACTCAAGACCAGCCTGGGCAACATAGTGAGACTCCGTCTCTACAAAAAAAAATTAAAAATAGCCAGCAAGATGATGCACACTTGCAGTCCCAGCTATTTGGGAGAAGGCAGGAGAATGACTTGAGCCCAGGAGTTTGGGGTTGCAGTGAGCTGATTGCACCACTGTACTCCAGCCTGGGCTACAGAGTGAGATCCTGTCTCAAAGACCAAAACAAAACAAAAAATAAATTTGAAGTGAGAAGATATTAAAAAATGCTTGCTAACAGTGTGGACTCAAAGTGTTTTTCATATTATTTATCTTTGATAAATAAATAATGATATATTTCTTAGCTCTTTAATCATTACAAACAAAAATCTGAGAACATGTCTAATTTTTCTCTATCATTTAAATGTATAACTAGAAAATCTGTGTAATGCATAACTAAAAGAAAAAAGATTGTGTACATGTTTGTATGTATATGACTGAAAACACAGAATTGGCAATATGAAAAAATAAACTAATAAGTATCCTTTCCTATTATCCTGTAATAAATATGCTTAAAAGTTACAGTGTCAGAATTTGAAAGGAGTTAAAGCCAGAGCAGAATATGAGGAATGATATCTAGGCTGACCATCATGTTTTGGGGCAAGATACAAAAACCAAAAGCTAGACTTTTGATACTAGATCAGAGAGGGAAATATGGTCTTGCACTTCCAGCATAAATGGCACTCTTATAAAAAGAAGGTATTTAGATAAAGTGACAGAGACACAGAAAGAACTTCATGTGAACAGAAAGGCAAATATTGGGGTAATGCATCCATAAGCCAAGAAATGCCAAAGATTGCCAGCAAACCACCAGAAGCTAGGGCAAAGGCAGAGAAAAGATTGTCGTTCGCAGCCCTCAAGAGGAACCACTCTGTTCATTTTGATTTCAGAACTCTATTTTATCCAGAACTGTGAAGTAATACATTTCTGTTGATCAAGTGCTCAGTTTGCGGTATTTTGTTATGGCAGCCCTGGAAATCTAATACAGACCCCCTAATATATCAAAACCCAAAGTAATATATCTTAAAAGTGCCCAGGAATGGGGAAGATACATTACATAGTGAGGAAAAGGTAAGAATTACAGCAAAGTTGTCATCAGAACAGTGCAAAAGAGTAAACAGGAGGAAAATCTCCTTAAAAGTGGCTCTAGATAAGGATGCCCTCTCTCACCACTCCTATTCAACATACTATTAAAAGTTCTAGCAAGGCAATCAGGCAAGAGAAAGAAGGCATCCAAAGAAGAAGTCAAACTATCTGTGTTTGCAGATAACATGATACTATCTCTAGAAACCCCACAATCTCATCCCAAATACGTCTTAAACTGATAAACAATTTCAGCAAAGTCTTAGAATACAAAATCATATGCAAAAATCACTGGTATTCCTATACACCAACAATAATCAAGCCAAGAGCCAAGTCATAAAGGGACTCACATTCACAATTGTGACAAAAAGAATAAAATACCTAGGATGCAGCTAACTAGGGAGGTGAAAGATCTCTACAAGGAGCATCACAAACCACTGTTCAAAAAAATCAGAGATGATAAAAACAAGTGGAAAAACATCCCATGCTCATGGACAGAAAGAATCAATATTGTTAAAATGGTCATGCTGCCCAAAGCAGTTTATAGATTCAGTACTACTGCTATTAAACTACCATTTACATTCTTCACAGAGCTAGAGAAAAGTATCTTAAAATTCATATGGAACCACAAAAGAGACTGACTAGAAAGGCAATTGTAAGCAAAAAACAAACAAAAAATGAAAACAACAAGAAAACAAAGCTGGAGACATCATGGTTGCTACCTGACTTCAAACTATACTATAGGGCTACAGTAACCAAAACAGCATGGTACTGATAGAAAAACAGACACCTAGACTAATGGAACAGAATAGAGATCCCAGAAATAATACCACAGGCCTACAACTATCTGACCTTCAACAAACCTAACAAAAACAAGCAAAGGGGAAAGAATTCTCTATTTAATAAATGATGCTGAGATAACTAGCCACAAGCAGAAGAATGAAACAGGGCCCCTTCCTTATACCATACACAAAAGTTAACTCAAGATGGATTAAAGACTTAAATGTAAAACTCAAAACTATAAAATCCCTGGAAGACAAGCTAGGCAGTACCATTCAGGACATAGGCAGGGGCAGAGATTTCATTATGAAGATGCCACAGCAATTGCAACAAAACCAAAAATTGACAAATAGGATCTAATTAAACTAAAGAGCTTCTGCACAGCATAGGAAACTCTCAATAGAGTAAACTATCTACAGAATGGGAGAAAATTTTTGCCAACTATGCATCTGACAAAGGTTTAATATCTAGCATCTGTAGGGAACTTAAGGAAATTTACTAGAAGACAAAAACTAACAACTCCATAAAAATTGGGCAAAGGACACGAACAGGCATTTTTCAAAAGAAGAAATACATGTGGCCAACAATCATATGAGAAAAAGCTCAACATCACTGATCATTAGAGAAATGCAAATCAAAATCACAGTGAGATACCATCTCACACTAGTAAGAGTGGCTATTACTAAAAAGTCAAAAAATAACAGATGCTGGAGAGGTTGTGGAGAAAGAGGAACACTTATACACTGCAGGTGGGAGTGTAAATTAGTTCAGCCATTGTGGAAAACAGCGTGGTGTTTCCTCAAAGACCCAAAGACAGAAATACTATTAGACCCAGAAATTTCATTACTGGGTATATACCCAAAGGAATATAAATCATTCTAAATACTATGTGGCCATAAAAAAGAATGAGATTATGTCCTTTGCAGGGACATGGATGGAGCTAGCGGTCACTATCCTTAGCAAACTAACACAGGAACAGAAAACCAAATACCACATGTTCTCACTTATAAGTGGGAGCTAAATGATGAGAACACATGGACACCTAGAATGATGAGAACATATGGACGCCTAGAACACATGGACACCTAGACACATGGAACAACACACACTGAAGCCTATCAGAGGATGGAGGGTAGGAGGAGGGAGAGGATCAGAAAGAATAACTAATGGGTACTAGGCTTAATACCTGGATGTTGAAATAATCTGTACAACAAACTATATAACAAAGCTACAGTAACCAAAACAGCATGGTATTGGTACAAGAACAGACGCACAAACCAATAGAACAAAATAGAGAACCCAGAAATAAGACCACACACATACAACTGTCTGATCGAACAAAAACAAGCAGTGGGGAAAGGATTGCCTATTTAATAAATGGTGCTGGGAGAACTGGCTAGCCATAAGCAGAAGAATGAAACTGGACCCCTTCCTTACACCATATACAAAACTTAAGATGGATTAAAGACTTAAATGTAAAACCCCAAACTGAAAAACCCTGGAAGACAAGCTATGCAGTACCATTTGGGACATAGACATGGGCAATGATTTCATGAAAAAGATGCCAAAAGCAATTGCAACAAAACCAAAAATTGACTAATTAAACTAAAGAACTTTTGCACAACAAAATAAATGATCAACAGAGTAAACAGACAACCTACAGAATGGGAGAAAATTTTTGCAATCTACCCATCTGACAAAGGTCTACTATCCAGCATCTACATGGAACATAAACAAATTAACAAGAAAAAAAAAACCATTACAAAGTGGACAAAGGACAAGAACAGACACTTCTCATAAAAAAAAAATATGTGGCCAAAAATATGAAAAAAAGCTCAACATCACTGGTCATTAGAGAAATGTAAATCGAAACCACAATGAGATAGCACCTTACATCAGTCAGAATTGCTATTATTAAAAAGTCAATAAACAACAGATGCTGGCGAGGTTATAAAGAAAAAGGAATGCTTTTACACTGTTCATGGGAGTGTAAATTACTTCAACCATTGTGGAACACAGTGTGGCAATTCCTCAAAGACTTAGAGGCAGAAATACCATTTGACTCATGAATCCCATTACTAACTATATACCCAAAGGAATATAAATCATTCTGTAATAAAGACACATGCACACATTTATTTATTGCAGCACTAGTCACAATAGCAAAGACATTGAATCAACCCAAATGGCCACCAAGATAGACTGGATAAAGAAAATGTGGTACATATACATCATGCAATACTATGCAGCCATAAAAGGAATGAGATTATGTCCTTTGCAGGGACATCGATGGAGCTGGAAGCCATTATCCTCAGCAAACTAATGCAGGAACAAAAAGTCAAATACCACATATTCTCACTTATAAGTGGGAGCTGAATGATGAGAACACATGGACACATGGGGGAACAACACACACTGGAGCCTGTTGGAGGTTGGAGGAGTGGGAGGTGGGAGAGGATCAGGAAGAATAGCTAAAGGATGTTGGGCTTAATATCTATGTGATGGAATGATATGTGCAGCTAAACAGCATGGCACACTTTTAACTAGGTAACAAACCTGCACATCCTGTACATGTACCCTTGAATTTAAAAGTTGGAATTAAAAAAATTAAAATTTTGTCTATCATATAACTTTCACACAATTTACTTCCCATTTTTCTTTGTCAGTAAATTATAGGAGCTCATTTCTACCAAAATGAGCAAAATATGAAAGAGGGATACACATAATACAAAGGAAACCAGACTGAAAATTCTCCAACCCTGTCTATGCATCAAGTGTAATATAGATTGGTAAAACAGACAATTTCTCCAGAATGTCTCCAAGAAAGGAAAGACGAATTTCTGAAACAAGGAGAAAACTAGAAACAATGTATGATTTTATTAAATAGTTGTGCAAATCAATATAATGCAATTATTAAATTTAGGAAGAACAAAAAGGCACACAATCAAGGCAATTGAACTAAGATTAAAATCTTAGTTCATTACTTGGCTCATTAGGGAATAAGACACAATTCAAATGAGTTATATAATTATAGAGGGGGAATGAAGCAGTCGAAATATGGATATGATGAACTATTAAGATGTTACATTCTAACTTCAATAATAGGAAGTCAATAGATAATACTCACATTTGAAGAGTCAGGAAACTTCATGGGCGTATTTTTAAGAAATACGTGGTAAAAGAATGAACAAACTATTCCTACTCATAAGAACATAAATGATTGCTATAGACATAATATTGAGCAAAATAGAGCAGGGAAGAATACACACTGTGTTCTGCTTACATAAACTTCAAAAAGAAGTAAAATTAAACAAAGGCAATTGGATAGTGGTTTCCTTTGGTATGGGTAATAGGTGGGAGGACGCATGATTCACAAGTACCTTCTGAAGTGTTGATAATATTCTATTTTTTGATCTTTGTGGTGTTTATACCTATGCATAAACTCGATAAAAATTAATTGTGCTATAAACTTTGACTTGTGGAATTTTATCTATATACTATATTTTGTACTTCAACAAAACTTTTCTTTGAAAAGAAATTAACATGGAGTTATATGGTTACAAAGAAGAAATTTTCTAATTGAGAAAGATGATTTAAGGGTTGTAAATTTTGCAGGAAACAGTTTTATCAATATACAAATTTTCAATATCTAAAAACAATATATATTATTTATGCATTCATATATTTATTAAAATAGCATAAAGTATGTGTAAAATTGCAAGCACAAATTCATGATTTTTGCTATTTATTGAACTTGGAGGAAATGTGCAGGAGGCTTTAACATTGCTCTAATGCTTTGTTTATTTAAAAATCTAAAGCAAATGTTCGTGTCCATTATGACCAGTTGGTGAGTGATTACACTAAGGTTTGTTCACATAATATTCTTTGTGTTTGAACTTTATAAATAAATAAACTTTCTGAGATTCTATTAATTTTGTCCCAATAAAATAATAATGAATATACATATACAGAAAAAGATCAAATGGTTTTACACTATTTAACTACTTAAATTAATACTTACAAAATATAATATAAGGCCTAAAAATAGTGATGTAAAGAAGAATAAAAATTACATACCATAGCAATACCTGCATCATAGCTTTTATTGCATACAGTGCCAGGAAATGTTGCTCCCACATATTTAGGATGTTTCCTGTAACTACATTATTATAATTTTTTATTAACGTAGTTATGCAAAACAATTTGTAAGCTTATGTATTAAATTAAACCTTCTTCACATAAAATTTTAAAAATGACTTTGCAAATATATAAAGCTTCAAACTAGGTAATATCTAATAAACATTACAAAATACTAAATACTAAATACTAAATCTAAATACTAAAATCATTGACTTTAATCAATTCACTTTAATACCAATGTAATTTCCTTGTATATCTCCTAAAATGGATATAATTTTATTAGCTCAAATTCAACTTAGTTTGGTTATCAAAAGTTAAAGAGAAAATAATTTTTAATTTGTGGAAGAAGCAATCTTACTAGTCCTAAAGATAAGCATTTTTAAATATTAAATATTAAAAAAAACCCAAATCCCTCCTAGTAAAAAGTAGACATGAAATGTATTAATTTATCATGAATAATTTTAACTGAATAGTCTCCGTTTTTACATCATTCATAAACTAAGGATTATATGTTTTCTGTAGCAAAGTCAACATTACAGAAGTTCATGAAATGCAGGTTTTTGAAATAATACTTACACTCCAAACTATTCTAATACAAAACTGATTATTGTTACTTTTATTATATTTTTAAGTACACTAGCACCTCTATGACAAAGGCTACTAATTTTTAAACACTTCCAAAGGGGCTTACAAAAAACTGAAGAACGCAATAAATTCACTAAATTACCAATTTAAAATAATTATGCAGATATCTTTATTAATGTAGAACATTGTGCTTACACAAGTAAGTATGCTATGTCATGGGGCCGTAGGATGAGATAGTCCCGTTTCCATGCCAAAAATCTTTGTAATATATCATCAGCATCCCCACTGGTGGAAATCTGGTTTTCATTTGACCACAATTCCAAGGAAGACAGTATAACAGTCAATTTGAACTGGGTAAACATCTAAAAATAAGATGTATTGTACATTTTTAAAGAAACAAGTTATTACATTTAAAAGGTACATTAAAAAATAAACAACATGTTCCAGTATTTTCAGTATTAAACTAATAAAAAGTATTTAAGTTATTCATTGGCCAAGATAGAACCCAAATTATATTAAAGAAACTTTCATGAAAATGGAAATGTGAAAAAGTAAAAACTTACAGTGTTGACAAGCCCAATAACCTGGACAATTTTTTGTGTTACAGCCATCATTTCAGATCCCATATAATCATACTGAAAAAGAAATTTTATTTTTCATGAAAGTATTATTTTGAATCCATGTGAATGAAATGATATTTAGGCATTGTATTAGATATTATAAGTAATCTAGAGCTGTTTTAAAGTACATAGGAGAATGTGTGCAGATTTGAGCAAATTCTACACTATTTTATATGAGACAAGATTTTATGGATTATATATTATGTATATACATATATATATATATATATATATATATATATATATATATATATATATAAAATACACACATGCGGAAATATTATTAAGCCTTGAATATGGTTGTCCTGTCATTTGTGAAAACATGGATGAATCTGGAGGACATTATGCTAAGTGAAATAAGCCAGATACAGAAAAGAAAATACTACATGATCTCACTTATATGTGGTATCTAAACAAAACAAAACAAATATATTCAAATACATGGAAACAAAGTGAAAAGGTGGTTGTCAAGGGGCAGAGGGCTGAGTGTGGGGAGAAATGTGGAAACGGCATTCATAGGATACAAAGTTTGGGTTATGTAGAATAAGTAAGTCTAGAGACCTAATGTACAAAGCGAGAACTACAATTAACAATATTGTTTTATATACTGAAAATTAGCTAAAAGAGTAGATTTTAGGTACTTTTACCATTAAAATGTAACACTATGTATATAAAAACATTATGATGTATACATCTTAAACATATATACTTTTAAAAAGAATAAAAGGTTAGAGAGAAGATATAAATTGCCAACATCAGGAATGAAAGAGGATTATAATATCAAAGGATGATAATAAAGTATGAAAGTACTGATGTCAATAACTTATTACATTTTAATACACTTGAAAATATTATTTAAAATGGCATTTGCCAAAATGGCCAAAGATAAAGTTCAAAGAATATATAATCATATAACTATTAAAGTGGATTCTGTAATTTTAAACCTTCCCATTAAAATATCAGGTTAATAAAGAAATATAAGGGTTAATTGTTGGACAGGTGCAGTGACTCACGCCTATAACCCCAACACTTTGGGAGACTGAGGCGTGGACAACATGGTGAGACTTCATCTCTTTAAAAAATTTTAAAAAAATTATCCAGGCATTGTGGTGCATGCCTGTAGTCCCAGCTACTTGGAAGGATGAGGCAGAAGAATTGGTTGAGGCCAGAAGTTCGAGATTGCGGTGAGCTATGATTTTGTCACTGCACTCCAGGCTGCATGAGAGAGTGAGGCCCCCTCTCTCTCTCTCTCTCTCAAAAAAAAAAAAACAAAAAAACTTAATGGTTACAGATATTTAAATAATAAGTAAAGAATAAGTAAAGGCATTTGTACAAAAATCATTCAGAATGTAGGAAAAGGGCAGACATTGTAATTAGTTTTATGAAACCAACACTGCTTTAACAACAGCTTAACAAGAAAAGGTCTTTTTTGGATATTCTTGTCAAACATAAAACGGATTCTCAATGTAACCACGAGAAAACTCAGGCAAGTCCAAACTGAGAAACATTTCTAGAAAATAACTGGCACGTATTCTCCAATTGTGCCAAGGTACATGAAAGACAAAGATCATAGTAATGCCACAGATTGGAGTAGAAAAAAGAAACATGTCAACTCAATGGAATGTAGGATCTTATAATTGAGGACTGAATTAGGAAAAAGACACTTGTGGGAAAAATGTCAAAAATTTTATAATAGTTGTTAATAATGTAGAAACATTAACTTTTATGTTTTGATTACTATATTATGATTATATAAGAAGTTAACTTAGGAGAAGTTGTGAAAAGAATCTTTACTGTTTCTTAACTTTCATGTAAGTCTAAAGTTCTTTCAAAATAATAAGTTTAAAATAATAAAATGCAGCTAAAGAGCAAAGAGGGATATCTCACCAATATCATTAGTGAACATTAGAAATGCTGATACTACAAATATACCAATTTTTAAAAGATAAAAGAATGTGTTACAAATTCATTCTAAGAAATTTGATAATTTAGATCATTTTAAAAATCTACTTGAAAACCTATGCCTTAGTCCATTTGCCCTGCTACAAAAGAATAACACAGACTGGGTATTATAAAAAAGAGAAATCTATTTCCTCACATTTCTGGGAGTGGAGAAGTCCAAGAACAAGTTGCTAGCATCTGGTCTGGTGAGGGCCTTCTTGCTGTATCCTCACATGGCAGAAGGCAGAAGAGAAAGCTACACAGTGCTTTTATAAGGGCCTTAATCTCATCTGTAAGGGAAGAAGTTCTTGTGCACTAATCACCTCTAAATGGTCCCATTCCTTAATACCATCACATTGGCCATTAAGTTTTAATACCTGAATTTTGGAAGGAACATATTCAAACCCTAACATTCCACCCCTAGTTTCCCAAAATTCATGTCATTCTCACGTACAAAATACCTTCATCCCATCCAAATAGTCCTAAAAAATCCTAACTTGTTCTATCATCAACTTTAAAATCTAATTTCAAAATCTCACCTAAACATTATATGAGTAAGACTCAAGGCAAGATTTATTCTGGGGCAAATTCATTTCCAGCTGTGAGTCTATGAAATTGAACAAGTTATATGATTCCAAGATACAATGGTGGGACAGACATAGAACAGACATTCCCATTTCAGAAAGAAGAAAGAGTCAAGAAGAAGGGAATAGCAGGTCCCAAGCCAATGAAAACCCAACAGAGCAAACAATATTAAATCTTAAGGCCTGCAAGTGATCCTCTTTGACTCCATGACCCACCCATGAGACACATTGGGGTGGGATTTGAGCCCCAAAGGCTTTGAGTGGCACCACCCTAATAGCTTTGCTGTGTGCAGCCCATGTTTCAGCTCTCACACATCGAAAATGCATGCATGCAGCTTTCCCAGGTGTTCCTTCCTGGTGGCTCTATAGTTCTGGGGTGTTGTGGGTGGCCCAGCACCTATGTCTCCACTGGGCATTGCCTTAGTGGGGTCTCTCTGAGGCATCCTTTGACTTATAGGTGGAAGTAGCCATGCCACCACAGCTCTTGCACTCTGTGAGCCTGGAGAGTTAGCACCAGGTGGACACAGCCAAGGTTCACAGTCTGCACCCTTTGAAACCACAGTCTGAGATGTACCTGGGCCCAGCTGAGCTAAAGCCAGGGCAGCAGAGAAGTGCCTGGCTGTGATGAAAGGATCTTAGACCTGAGGTGGCCCTGGTGTGCAAGTCTCAAGGTCCTATAAGCATTCTGGCTTCTCTCTTTAACCTGTCTTGCTTACAAATCCCCAGCACTCTGGGCTTGTAATGGGAAGGCAGCCTTGAAGATCTCCAAAATGTCTTTGGGGTTATTCTGCTCTTGTGTTGATAAATAGCAGCTGACTTGCTCTATCCACACAATTTTCTTTAAAGGTCACTTGACACACTCTTGCTATTCTCTCCCATACATACTTCCCCCAACCCCCCATCCCCCACCTTTTTTTTTTTTTACAGGGCAAGGCTGAGAGTTTTTCAAATCTTTACATTCTTCTTCCATTTTAATTATAAAATCCATATTTAAACCATTTATCTTGTCTCAAATTTTACTATAAATAAGTAGGAAAAGCCATGCAGCATCCTGAACACCTTGCTGTTTAGAGATTTCTTTTGCCAAATATCTGAGTTCATCATTCTTAAGTTCTGACTTCCATAAAGTTCTATGGCATGGGCATAATTCAGCCAAGTGATTGGCCACTTTCTAACAAGAGTGGCCTTTCTCCCAATTTCCAATACCTTGGACCTCACTTCCATCTGAGCTCTCATAAGAACAGCCTTTACTGTCCATATTTCTACCAGCATTCTGTTCATGACCACTTAAGTAATTTCTAAAAACTGTTCATAACCACTAATCTCTAAAAAGATTCACAACTTCCCTACTTCTCTTCTTATGAGCTCTCATCAGAATCACCCTTCATTCTCCATTTGCAGTAATACAAGCTTTTTCCATTATTTGCTTCAAAACAGCTCCCGCTTCAACCCATTGCCAGGTACCAAAACTATTTCCACATTTTTAGGCATTTGCAATGGCAACACCCACTCCTGATACCAATTTCTGTCTTGGTCCATTTGTGCTGCTATGACAGAATATGACAGATTGGGTAGTTTGTAAAGAACACAAATTTATTGTTCATAGTCCTAGAGGCTGAGAAGTCTCACATCAAGGCTCCACAAACAGGTCTGGTGAGGACCTTTTTGCTATGTCCTCGTGGAGAGGAAAGCAGAAAGGCAAGCTACAGAATGCTGCATGAAGTCTCTTTTATAAGAGACTTAATCCCATACATGAGGGAAGGAGCTTTCATGACAGAATTGCCTCATGCCTTAAAGTCATAACATTGGCCATTATGTTTCAATACATGAATTATGAAGGGGACACATTCAAACCATAGCAATCTAACTTGTAGAAAGTAAAACAAGTTTAAAGAAAATCTCAACTTCCCTATGTATATCATATGTAAAGAAATTTAATGTGTACTTTAAAATATTTCCTCAAAGAAAACTTAAGGTCTACAGGGTTTCAGAGTAAATTCTTCCAACTATATGTGGAAGGGGTCATACTCATAATATCTAAATTCTCGAAGAGACTATAAGAAGAAGAAAACTCACTAACTTATTTGATGAGGCTAGGATAATCTTGATAACAAGAAGAAAAATCATTATAAGAAAGGAATATAGCATACCATTATTTCATGAACATAAATCCTAAAATCAAAAACAAAATATTAAATAAAAGATCAGGTTACTTGTAAAAATTGATTAAAATGTGATAAGTAGGGTGTATTTTAGAAACACAAGTATGGTTCTCTATATCCATTGATTATCTCTGTAAGAGCAGAAAAAAAATTTGATGAAAAACAGCTATCCATGACAAAAATCTTGGAAAACAGGGAATATAAGGGAGCCTTCCCAATATTATAAAGATCACCTACCAAAAACTAAGAGCTAACATGAAACTTAGCAAGAATGGTTAATCTGCAAGTTAGGGGAAAATTTAGGAATATACACATCAGTCTATTTAACATTGTACTGCAGAGTCAAGCAAGGACAATAAAACAATAAAATGAAATAAAAGTAAAATAAATAGGTAAATTACTAAATACATGTATACATAAATGCAAAACGGAGTAAAAATTGATAAAGAAAAAAATTAAAAATTAAAATTTGAAATTAAAAAAATTAAAATTCATAAATAATATGATTGTGTACATAGAACATTAAAAAATCTACCAAAAATGAAACACAAGAATTAACAAGTAAATTATGCAAAAAATAACAGGATATAAGATAAATTGTGTGTCAACTATGTTTTCAGAAACCAGGGCAAAAATACTTAAATGTTAAATTAAGAATACCATTTACTAGGGCATCACAAAATCATCAAATGCATAACAATAAAACTAACAAAGATGTTCAAGAACACCATAGAACACTGACGAAAGGAATTAACAAAAAATGTAAAGACGAATGTGAGGGGGTTCTCCTTATTCAGAGATTGGATGACTCAATATTGTTAAGATCACAATTCTTTCCAAAGTGAGCTAACCATTCAATGTAATTCCAAAATCAAAATTACAGTATTTTTGGAAAATTTTAGAGGGTGATTCCAAAATGGATTTAAATAAAAGGGGCCCAGAATAGTCAAAGCAATAATTAAGATTAGAAAAAGGACAAAACCAAATAAATTATATAACAATAAAGCTACAGTAATGAACACAGTGAATTATTGATTCAATAAAACAGAAATAGGGCAATGGAAGTGAACAGCAACCTAAGGAATAGGCCACACACAATTATACTACATAATTTTTAAAAATTGCTAACACAACTGAATGGAGTAAGAGACATTTTCCGTAAGTGGAGATGGAGCGAATGGATGTCTATATGGAAAAAAGAGAACCCTGCCTCACAGCGTACACATTGCTCAATTAAAAATATACCATAAAACTTATTTTAAAAGGTAAAGAAAAATACATAAAATGATATGGAAGAAAGTAAAATTATGTCCTTGGAATAAGAAAATATTTCTTAAAAACAAAAGGAAATTAAGAAAACATAAATTGGACTTAAATTAACTGTGGTTCAGAATGCATGTCTATCAAAAGACATCATTAAATGAGTTTAAAATTAAGCCACAGACTACGAGAAAATAGCCTTAATACAGCTATCTGAAAAAGTCCTCATATTTGGAATATATAAGGAATCCCCACAAAATAGTAAGGAAACTATTAAAATGGGTAAAAACTTATACATTTACTCTTCAAAAAATCCAAATAGTAAACAATGGTATGAAAATATGCTCAAACTCAATCATGTGTTAAATGCACCTAAAAACCACCATATGATATCACTATATATCCACTAAAATGGCTAAGATTTTTAAAAGTTTATCAATTGTAATTGTTTGTAATGATACAGAATTCCTGGACCTTTCATACAATGCTGATAGAATACGAAATTACTATAATAACTTTTCAACTGTTTACCAATATTGTCCAAAGGTAACATACCAATCCCATGATATAACAATTTCACTCCTAGGCAGATACCAAAAGAAATTATGTCTACCAAAAGACATGAGCAAGATTGGTGATAACAATTTTATTCATAATAGCACCAAATTGTGGTATTCTTCACGTTAGTATACAAGAAATAAACTACTGTTATGGGCAACAATGTGAATAAATCTTAAAGACATTATATTAACAAAATAACCTAGATGCTATAGAATGTATAATCTACAATTTACACTTTTGGATCTACCTGATTGTATTATATTTATCTGCTAAATGCTAGTCATTCATCTAAAAATCTATTCTATGAAGACTTTCCTTAACAATTCCTACATCTTTCTCAATTCTATCCTGTTACTTTGTGAGTATATATATAGATATATAAGTATATATATAACTTATATACACACATACATAATGTACGTAGTGCCTCATAATTATTTGGTTGCATATCTGTCTTTTCCATTAAAATATGAATTCTTGAAAGTAGAATTTCCAGTGATTAGTCTGTGTTTTGCATTTAGTAAATATATAATAGTACTAATTTTAAAAATAAATATACATTTAAAACCAGAAGTGTATTTATTCAAAAACTATGCTGAAACATATTTTAAGAATAATAAACAAAAAATATAAACACTACTATTATTGAAGTGAAATTTTTGTTAGCAATAAAGGTTTTAAAATGACATTAAGGCAACAAACTGAATTAGTTGAAAACTTTGCAAAAGAGAAAATATCAAGTGAATATGCTTTATAAGATGGTAAAAATATGCATTCAATAAAACAATGTGACCAGAAAGGATGGAGCAGATTAAGAGAAAGGATGGCCCATTAGGAGTTAAAGTCAAAGAGATACTGACTGAGCTGGAGTGGAGGAAGCGATAGTGTAGGGCATTCTAGGCTAGTTTGGGCTGTTACTCATAATTGGTTGTAAAAGGTCACAAATGTTGATTTATCTAACACCCCTAAAATAAAATATCTTTTATTTTAAAATATTAAGAAAATTGTATTATGTCTTTAAAATTAAAACAAAACTTTCACTAAGTTATAAAAAGAAAGAAAGAGTGAAAGAAAGAGGAAGGAAGGAAGCAAGGAAAGAAGGGAGGGAGGGAGGAAAACAAAGGGAGTGAGTGAAGGAGGGGTAGAGGAAGGAAAGGGAAGACAGAGGGGAGGGGAGGAAAAGAGAGGAGAGGGAGAAAATAAGGAGACAATGGAGGAAGGGAAAGAAGGAGGAAGAGAGAAAAGGAAGAAGACAGGAATGCAAGAAGGAAAGTTCTTTCTTGAAAGCATACTTAGTTCCTTCTTGAAAGACCTCTTGAAAGCATACTTACCAAAGCTTTTTCCACTATAATGTATATTTCCAGATATTGGGGTAATAGTTTTGAAAGATTTTTTATCTGGAAAACAACAACAACGGGATTTATAAAATGTTAACATGTATTGAATTTAAGAGAAAAAGATGACATGTAAAGACAGCGAAAAATTGCATATAAGATTTTCATGAGGACTTAAGTATAAAAATTAATTCTGATGTAGAAAATTTTACTTCAAAACATATTCCAAGCTTAAAATATTTACAATGAACCTGCCAGAGTAATGTAAGGGTCTAGTCTCTGTTAATGCTGAATGAGAAAAAAAAAACATAAACATAAAAATACACCTTATGCTGTCTTCATCTGCAGACAACTCTACACTTTGAACATTTTTCACTGACTGTCTTATGAAGGACTATAGCAACACTAACTGTGGCATACTGAAAATTGTCCATTCATAAAGATATAGGAAATATTTGAGAACTCATAGTCTCCACTGAAATTCAGGTAAATATTGTGATTTGTCTATTAATAATTGATGATTTATAGGTTATTATGTTAGCACAATCAATAATTATTGCTTTATATCAAATGACACACAAAGCCTATGCTCTGGACCTATTGAATTATTTCTGATATTTTACATTCTGTTCTTCCCTGTGTACTCATATGATTATCACCTATAAATCATCAATTATTACATCCTCATTTAACACTTTATTGATAATTTTACATGAGCTTTATTTCTAACAAGCTGAAGTGCCTTCTCACATATAGAAACTTCAGAGAAATTTCTTCTTTGATCTAAGCATATTTACAGGCCACAAAATACAAGAGTAAAGAGGGTGTTGAATCTGCAATAGAATAGTCTGAGTTAAAATAAGTAAACAAGCAAACAAATAACCCAAACTTACTGGATAGAGTCTCTGTTTAAATAGGTTGGTTTATATTTCCATGGGAAAGTAAAGTATGCCTCATCTCATATATCTATTGTTGTTTATCTATCTATCTATCTATCTATCTATCTATCTATCTATCTATTGATCTATCAGTCTATCAATTCATCATCTAAATCTATCAGTCTATCATCTATCAAGACATACATGTTTATTTATCTATCCATCTATATATCCTCTCTTTGTGTATACATGTATACTGCAATTTTGTAAAAAAGGGGACTCTCATTTTTTTTCAATATTCTAAAATATGTGAGTTTGGTCTTTTAAACTTTCATTATTGGTGTGTTTTTTGTGATCATACTATTGCATGACCATACAACTTATTGCTCAAACTGAAATAATGTTGAGTGAGAAAAGGGGGCACTAAAATAATCAAAATTATATAATTATTAAAATTGATATTTAATGACTAAAAAGTTTAACTTTCTCAGCAGAAACCTTGCAAACAAGAAGTGTTGACATTCATCTTTAGTCTCTTTATAAAGAATAACTCTGCCAAGAATTTCATAGCCAGCAAAACTAAGTTTTATAAATGAAGGATAAGTAAAGTCTTTTTCAGACAACCAAATGCTAAGGGAATTTGTTACTACTAGATCAGCCCTAGAAGAAATGCTAAAAGGAGTTGTACATCTTAAAACAAAATGTCAATATACACCAGAATAGGACCTCTTGAAAGCATACAATGCATAGGACCTATAAAACAGTAACACAATGAAGAATACAAAGTATCTTTGTGACAATCAGCATGACTGGAACAGTATCTCACATCTCAATATTAATGTTGAATATAAATGGTCTAAATACACCACTTAGAAGACACAGATTTGCAGAATGGATAAAAAAAAATCACAAACCAAACATCTGCTGTCTTCTAGAGACTCACCTAACATGTAAAGATTCTTATAGATTCAAGGCAAAGGGGTGGAAAAGACATTCCAGACAAATAGAAACTAAAGGCAAGCAGGAGGTGCTATTCTTAGATAAAATAGACTTTTAAGCAAAAACAGTTTTAAAAGACAAAAGGATGTTGATATGGTTTGACTGTGTCCCCACCTAAATATGGTAATAATCCCCATCTGTCAAAGGTGGGGTCAGGTGGAGATAATTGAATCATGGGGGCAGTTTCCCCCATACTGTTCTCATTGAAGTGAATAAATCTCATGAGATCTTCTGCGGGAGTTCCCTTGCCCAAGCTCTCTTGCCTGCTGACATGTAAGATGTCCCTTTGCTCTTCCTTCATCTTCTGCCATGATTGTGAGGTCTCCCCAGCCATGTGGAGCTGTGAATCCATTAAACCTTTTTACTTTACAAATTACCCAGTCTCGGGTATGTCTTTATCAGCAGTGTGAGAACAAAAGGATCAATCCAACAAGAAGATATTATAATCCTAAATATATATGCATATATATATAATCTAACTTTGGTGCTCCCACATTCATAAAACAATGACTACTAGTCCTATGAAAAGAGATAGACAGCAACACAATAATAGTGGATGACTTCAACGCTCCCCTGACAGCACTAGACAGATTTCAAGGCAGAAAGTCAACAAAGAAACATAGGACTTAAACCATACTCTAGAACAAATGGACCTAACACATATTTACAAACTATTCTACCCAAGAACTATATTCTTCTCATCAACACATAGAACATTCTCCAAGACAGATAATATGATAGGCCACAAAATAAGTCTCAATAAATTTTTTAAAAATCAAAATTATATCAAGTATCTTCTCAGACACAGTGGAGTAAAACTAAAAATCAACTCCAAAAGGAACCCTCAAAACTATAGAAATACAAGAATTTTAAACAATCTGATCCTGAATGATTTTGGGGTTAACAATAAACTCAAGATGAAAATTTAAAAATTCTTCAAAATGAATGATAATAGTAATACAAATTATCAAAACCTCTGGGATACAGCAAATGCAGCGCTGAGAGGAAAGTTTATAGCACCAAATGCCTACATCAAAAAGACTGAAAGACCACAAATTGACAATTTAAATCTCAACCTCAACGAACTAGAGAAATAAGAACAAACCAAACCCAAAGCAAGCAGAAGGAAAGAAACAACAAAGATCGGAGCAGGTTTAAATGAAATTGAAACAAAAATATTAAAATGATCAATGAAATGAAAACTTGGTTCTTTGAAAAGATTAACAAAACTAATAGACCATTAGTTCCATTAGCCAAGAAGAGACAAGATTAAAAGAAGTTTTAGAAATAAAAATGAAAATATTACACCTGACATCACAGAAATATAAAAGATCATCCAAGACTACTATGAACACTTCTATGCACACAAACTAGAAAATCTGGAAGAAATGGATAAATTCCTGGAAACACACAACCCTACTAGCTTGAATCAAGATGAAATAGAAATCCTGACTAGACCAATATCCATCAGTGAGATTGAGTCACTAATTTTAAAAAACTGCCAAAGAAAACCCAAGGCCACAGGAATTCACAACCAAATTCTACCAGATATTCAAACAACAATTGATACCAATGCTGCTGAAACTATTGCAAAGTATTGAGAGCACAGACGCAAAAATCCTCAGCAAAATACTAGCAAATAGAATCCAATAACACATCAAAAAGATAATTCACCCATGATCAGAAGGTTTCACCTCAGGGATGCAGGAGGGATGGATCACTATATGCATATCCATAAATGTGATTCACCACATAAAAAATTGAAAATAATAATCTCTACAGATGCTGAAAAAAGCAATAAAATCCAGCATCTCTTTATAATAAAAAAATTCAACAAACTAGGCACAGAAGGAACATACCTGAAAATAATAAAAGCTATATATGACAAACCCACAGAGAGCATCATACTGAATGGGTAAAAAGCTGAAAGCATTCCCCAAGAACTGGAAAAAGACAAAGAAGGATACTTTCACTACTTCTATTCAACATAGTGCTGGAAGTCCTAGCCACAGCAATCAGGCAAAAGACATAAATAAAGGAAATCCAAATTGGAAAATAGAAAGTCAAGCTAACTCTGTCTACCAATGTTATAATCATATACCTAAAAAACCCTAAAAGGCTCCTCTAGAAGACTCCTACATTTGACCAGTGAATTATGTAAAGTCTCAGGTTACAAAATCAATGTACACAAATTAGTAGCATGGCTATACACCAACAATGACCAAGCTGAGAATCAAATCGAGATCTCAATCCCTGTTACAACAGCTGCAAAAATAAAATAAAATAATTAAGAATATACCTACCCAAGGAGGTGAAAGCTCTTTACAAGAAAAACTACAGAACACTAAATCCTAGATAGCAGAAAAAACTGGAAATTCATCCCATGCTCATGGATGGAAGAATCAACATTGTGAAAATTACCATACTGCCGAAAGCAATCTACATATTCAAGCAATTCCTATCAAAATACCAAGATCAGTTTTCACAGAATTAGAAAAAAGTAATCCTAAAATTCACATGGAACCAAAGAAGAGCCTGAATAGCCAAAGCAATTTTATTAGTCCATTCTTGCACTGCTATAAAAGAATACCTGAGACTGGATGATTTATAAAGAAGAGATTTAATTGGCTTACGGTTCCACAGGCTGTACAGGAAGCATGACAGCTTCTGGGAAACCTCAGAAAACTTTCAATCATGGTGGAAGGCAAAGGAAAAGCAGGCATGTCTTACATGGACGGAGCAGGAGAAAGAGAGAGCAGGGGAGGTGCTACACACTTTTAAACAACCAGATCTCCTGAGAACTCTACCACGAGAACAGCACTAGGAGGATGGTGTTAAGCCATGAGAAACCACCTCCGTGATCTAATCACCTTCCACGAGGCCCCACCTCCAACACTGAGGATTACAATTTCACATGAGATTTGGGAGGATACAGAAACATATCAGCATTCTTAAGCAAAATAACATATCTGGAGACGCTACATGACCTGACTTCAAACCACACTACAAACTTTACTAACCAAAATAGCATTGTACTGGTATAAAAGTAGATACATAGACCAATGGAATATACTAGAGAACCCAGAAATAAAGCCAAATACCACCAACTGATCTTCAGCAAAGCACACAAAAACATAAATTGGGGGAAGGACCCTCTATTCAATGAATGACGCTGGGAATACTGGATAGCCACATGTGGAAGAAGGAAACTGCATCCCTATCTCTCTCACCATATACAAAAATCAACTCAAGATGGATCAAAGACTTAAATTTAACACCTGAAACCATAAAAATTCTAGAAGAAAGCTTAGGAAAAACTCTTCTGGACATTGCCCTAGGCAAAGAAATTATGACTAAGACCCCAAAAGCAAATGCAACAAAGATAAATAAATGGGACATCATTAAACTAAAAAGCTTCTGCACAGAAAAAGAAGTAATCATCAGAACAAACAGACAACCTAAAGAAGGGGAGAAAATATTTGTAAACCATGCATCTGACAAAGGACTAATATCCAAAATATACAAGGAACTCAAACAAATCAGCAAGATAAAAACAAATAATCCCACCATAAAGTAGGCAAATTACACAAATAGGCCTTTCTCAAAAGAAGATATACAAATGGCCAACAAACATGAAAAATGCTAAACATCACTAATCAACACGGAAATGCAAATTAAAACTATAATGATAATCCCAGCACTTTGGGAGGCCAAGGCAGGTGGATCACGAGGTCAGGAGATCAACACCATCCTGGCTAACACTGTGAAACCGCTTCTCTACTAAAAATACAAAAAATTAGCCGGGCATGGTGGCAGGTGTCTGTAGTCCCAGCTACTCGGGAGGCTGAGGGAAGGGAGTGGCGTGAACCCGGGAGGCGAAGCTTGCAGTGAGCCGAGATCACCCCACTGCACTCCAGCCTGGGCGACAGAGCGAGACTCCGTCTCAAAACAAAAACAAAAACAAAAACAAAAAAACAAACAAAAAATTATAATGAGATACCACTTTATCCCAGCCAGAATGGTCATTATTAAAAAACTAAAAAAAAAAAAAATGTGTGCATGTGGTGAAAAGGGAACTTATTTCAAGCTCAGGAGTATATGTACATACTGCCGGTGGGAATCTAAATTAGTACAACTACTATGGAAAAGCAGTATGGGGATTTCTCAAAGAAGTAAAAGTAGATCTACCAAACCCACTGTTGATTATCCCCCAAAAAAGAAATTATTATATCAAAAAGAATTCTGCACACATATGTTTACTCCAGCACAATTCATTATTTCAAAGATATGGAACCAACCTAAGTGAACATCAATCAGTGAGTGGATAATGTATACACCATGGAATGCTACTCAGCCATAAAAAAGAATGAAATAATGTCTTTTGCAGCAACTTGAATGGAGGAGGCCATTATTCTAAGTGAAGTAACTCAGGAATGGAAAAACAGATACTATATGTTCTCACTTTTAAGTGGTATGCAAAGACATACAGAGTGGTATCATGGAAATTGGAGATTCAGAAATGGGGAAGGTGAGAGGGGGAGTGAGGGATTAAAAGCCACATATTGGGTACAATGAACACTACTCAAGTGATGGGTGGAGTAAATCTCAGACATCACCACTATACAATTCATCCATGTAACTGTCCCCTCATACCAAAAAGCAACTGAAACGAAAAAATATATATATAAATATATACAGACTGGTAACCTGGAAAACTAGAAAGTCTTAGAGGTTTACAAACATCAGTGTGTGTTGTGTATGACTCCTCTAAATCTTTTATCTCTGTGCCTTCTATTAAGTTATGTAACTTATTATAACCTCAGTTACGTATCTGTAAAATATGACAAGCATGATGTAAATAGCATTAAATAAGACATGAAATGAAAAATTAATAAGTTTGATTGTATTATTTTGATATAACTAAAACTACTTACAAGTTATTGACAAAACTAGATGTTTTTCTAAACAAATATAACAGCACACAAGACAAATTCTCAATGATTAAAAATTGCATAAGTAAAATAATTGCTCTTGATAGATTCTCATGTGCTTTATTTTCTTAGGTGTCTCTCCTTCTAATGCTATATTTCTGATATTTTAGAGCAATATATTTTTCAATATCATCTTAATATTTTCATTACATTGCCTATGATTTTTTCAAAATTGCATTTTATGGTTAACACATTTAAAATTGTGAACATTTTCAATGGAATCTTTCTAGAGGCCATTATATATATGTATTATGTATATTATATATGTAAAATTATGTATATAATATACATAATATATTACATATAATTTTACTTATGCTGTTTTTAATCAATGAGAATATAATTTTGCCTTGTGTGCTGATGTACTTGTTTTTAGAAAAACAACCAGTTTTGTCAATAACTTTTAAGTAGAAGTAGTTAAAAATAAAAGTTGGAAATTAAATATATATGTATATATACACTTTTTAAAAATCTCCTACTTTTATTTTAAGTTCAGGGGTACATGTACAGGACATGCAGGTCTGTTACATAGGTAAACATGTGCCATGGTGGTTTGCTGCTCAGATCATCCCATCACCCAAGTATTAAGGCCAGCATCCATTAGCTTTTCTTCCTGATCCTCTTCCTCTTCTCATCCTCCACCCTCTGACAGAACCCAGTGTGTGTTGTTTCCCCACATGTGTCCATGTGTTCTCATCATTTAGCTCCCACTTATAAAAGAACATTCAGTGTTTGGTTTTCTGTTCCTGCTTTAGTTTGATGAGGATAACAGCTTCCAGCTCCATCCATATCCCTGCAATTACATGATCTCATTCTTTTGTATGGCTGCATAGTATTCCATGGTGTATATGTACCATATTTTCTTTATCCAGTGTATTACTGATGGGCATTTAGGTTGATTCCATGTCATTACTATTGTGACTTTATATTCTTGTTAGTCTCAAAACAAAAATAAATATCTTTAGTATCTGAGCATTTAAATAAATTAAAATAATATTCACAATATTATTGGATGTTACCTGCAATAAAATTAACTTCCAAAATTATTATTATATTAATAGATTATTTTTATTTTCCATATTTTATACTTAAAAATAAAAAAAAATTGAAACACTAGAAAATGCCAAAGATCAGGGAACTCATGTGTCATTCATCCAGTTTTCCCCAGTGGTCATAAACTTATCAAAACCAGGACATTGACATGGGTACAGTGTGTGTGTGTGTGTGTGTGTGTGTGTGTGTGTGTGTGTGTGTGTGTGATTTTGTCATGCATGTGTTCATGTCACATTTAAAAAACTCAGCTGCTCTATTAAGTATGTAATAGTATCTGATGATGTTCTTAATTTGCATTTTTCTAATGGGTAGTGATGATGTAAATATTTTAATGTATTTTTATTTTGTTTCATTTTGTTTTTGCCATGTCTATGTCCTTTTCAGTGAAATGCCTCTTAATGTTTTGGCTATTCTTTAATTGTATTTTTTAAATGTTGGCTTTTGAGTTATTTATATAGTCTAGATATCAGTCCATTATCACATTTTCCAGGTCTGTAGCTTGTCTTTTTGGCATATAAATGTACATAATTTTGTTCTATGCATAGATTGTGTAGTGGTGAACTCAGAGCTTTTAGGGTATCCATCACCCAAATAATGTATATTGTATCCATTAAATATTCTCTCACTATCTACCCCTCTCACCTCCTCACCCATCCAAATCTCTATTGTCTATCATTCCACACTCTACATCTCTGTGTGCACAGTATTTATATCCCATTTATAAGTAACTACATCCAGTGTTTATCTTTCTGTGTCTGACTTGTCTCATTTAAGATAAAGGCCTCCAGTTAATCAGTTCATCTATGCTGTTGCTGCTGATAGGATTTCATTTCTTTTTTAATATATAGTTATATTTTTATATATAACAATATATAAATATATGTTATATATATTTTAATATATAAATTGTTATATAATATATATATTATATATTACATATATAATATATAAATTATTATATTTTTAATATAACAGTTGGCTACTTGTATGTGTTCTTTTGAGAAAGTATGTTTACCTGTTCAAATATCTTGCCCATTTGCAAGCAAAAGCTTTTTAGTTTGTTGTAGTGTTTTTGTTTGGTTGGTTGGTTGTTGGTTTTTTTTTACATTTTTTCTTTGTTTTGTTTTGTGATTTTTTTTTGTTTTTTTTTTTTTTTTTGCTTTTGTTGCATGTGCTTTTGAGGTCCTGTCTAAAAAAATCTTTGCTCAGACCTATGTCATATAGTGTTTCGTTTAGGCTTTTCATCTAATAATTTCATGGTCTGGGGTTTTAAGCTTAAATCTTTAATACATTTTGATCTTTTTGTATAAGTTCAGAGATAGGAATTTACTTTCACTCTTTTGTGTGTGAATATTCAGTTTTCCCAGCACCATATATTGAAGAGACTGTCCTTTCTCTGTTGTGAGTTCTTGGCAACATTGTCAAAAAATAAAAAATAAAAAAGGATGGCTGTAAATGCATAGTTCTGTTTCTGGGCTCCCTATATTATTTCATTGGTCTATGTGTCTGTTTTAATGCCAATACCATGCTGTTTCAGTTACTATAGCTTTATAGTATATTTTCCTCTTTTTGCTCAAGATTGCTTTAGATATTTGGGGTGTTCTCTTGTTGCATATACATTTTAGGATTGACTTTTTTCTATTTCTGTAAAGACTGGTATTAGAATTTTGACAGAAATTGCATTGAATCTGTAAGTCTCTTTAAGTAATATGAACATTTTAACAATATTAATTATTCCAATTCATGAACATTAAATATCTTTCCATTTACTGTGTCTATTTCAATTTCTTTCATCCATGTTTTATAGTTTTCATGTGGAGATCTTCAATCTCCTTATAAAAACTTACTAATAGTTATTTCATTTTTGTAGGTATTATAAATGGGATTGTTTTCTTGAATTCTTTATCAGATAGGTTATTATTGGCATATAGAAATGATACTGTTTTTTTATGTGGAGCATGTTGCTTTTAATTTCCATGTATTTGTACAGTTTCCAATGTTTCTCTTATAATTGATTTCTAGTTTTATCCCATTATAGTTAGAAAAACTATTCAATACAATTTCAATTTTTAAAAACTTTGTTAAGACTTGTTTTGTGTCACAGAATATGACTTATCCTGGAGAATGCTCCATAAGCAGTTGAAAAACATGTGAATTCTGAAGTTGTTGGATCAGATCTCCTGTAAATGTCCATTCGGTCGCTTTTATCTTGAGTAGAGTTAAAACGTGGTATTTCTTTGTTGATTTTATACCTGCATGTTTCCTCCTATACTGAAAGTGAGGTGTTGAAATCCCCTATTATTGTATATGTGTCTATCTTTTCCTTTAGATCTATTAATGTTTGCTTTATCTATTTAGGTGCTACAATATTGGGTGCAAAGATATTTGTGATTGTTTTATCCTTTTCTTGTATTGACCACTTTGTCATTATATAATGCCCTTGTTGGTCTTTTTTTATACTTTTTTCCTTGGAGAATATTTTTATCTAAGTATAGCTACTCCTAATTTGTAGGGAGACCCCCTGAAACTATTGCTCGATAAAAGATGAAATGCTCCTGATTATTGTAAACACCAAGTTGTATGCAGGATTGTGCAAAGACAATGCCAAGTTGGACTGCCAGAATGAGCCAACAGCGCGTGATGTGCTTCCCCCTGCAGAGAGCCTATGAATGAACGTGCAGTCAGGGAGGTTTCACATCACCAAGATTCCTATCCCAGAAAAGCAGATGTTCATAGCTCTGGGAATGGAATGCGACCCTTGCGGGAGTCTATAAACGGACACATGGGGGGCACCTGTCCATATGGATAAGAAAGGGCTATAAATGCCCTCATCTTGCCACGGCTCTTCTAGGCCTCTTTAGGGTTAAGGCATACTCCCTTCTGAGAATTTCTGGTCTAACCGGTTGTCTAGCTTCACGTCGTGTTTCTATGGATTGTTTGTAACCAGCTTTTGCTGCAACTGTTACTGCTGATTAATATCTTGCTAATCACAGGTTATGGAAAGACTGTGTTTCTGTTTAAGGCTCTGTTAGAAATTACTGATGCACACACTATATTGTAAATTCTTATCTCTGTATACTGTACTTCTGCATACAGATGTTATGTTAAAGAATTAGTTCATCCCCATGTGACCATCTCACCTCACAATCAAATGACCCTAAATCCCTCACTAACCTACCCCCACCCTTACTAAACTTAATAATAAATGCTGGTATATCGAATGCATTGTTGGGCACCACAGGACCAGAAGGCGGTGACCCCCCTGGACCCAGTTTTCACTAGCTTGTGTGTGTCTATTATTTCTCAACCTGCCGATCCACCTGGGAACAAAGAGAGAGCCTCGTTGCATTGCGGGCTGCTGGCCAGATCCCACAATACTAATTTATTTTGGTTTTTATTGTATTAAATATATACTTTTCATCCATTTACTTTCAGTCTATGTGTATACTTACAGATAAAGTGAGTCTTTGGAGGCGTCAAATAGGTCTTGTTTTAGGGTTTCTGGTTTTATTAACTTTATTCATTTCCAATTTTTATTTTAGGTTTGGAGGGATAGAAGTGCTGGTTTGATACATAGGTAAATTGCATGTCACAGGGGTTTAATGTACAGATCAATGTGTCACCCAGGTAATGAGCATTGTACCCAATAGGTCCCCACCCTACACCCACCCTACATTCTCAAGTAGGCCCAGTGTCTATTGTTCCCTTCTTTGTGTCTATGTGTACTCGATGTTTACCTCCCACTTATCAGTGAGAACATGTGGTATTTGAGTTACTATTTCTGCATTACTTTGCTTAGAATAATGGCCTCCAAGTCCATTCATATTGCTACACAGAACATAATTTCAGTATTCTTTATGGCTGTGTAGTATTCCATGGTGCATATGTAACAGATTTTCATTGTGCATTCCATCACTGATGGACATCTAGATTGATACTATGTCTTTGCTACTGTGAATAGTACTATGATAAGTATATGTGTGCATGTGTTTTTATGGTGGAATGATTTTTATTCCTTTGGGTATATACCCAATAATGGAGTTGCTGGGTCGAATGATAGTTCCATGTTCTCTGAGAAATTTCCAATCTGCTTTCCACAGTGCCTGAACTAATTTACATTCTCATCAGCAGTGCACAAGTGTTCCCTTTTCTCCACAGCCTCGTGAGTATCTGTAACTTTTTCTTTTTAGTAATAGCCATTCTAACTGGTGTGGAATGGTATCTCATTGTGGTTATGATTTGTATTTCTCTAATGATTACTGATGATGAGCATTTTTTCATATGCTTGTTGGCTGCATGTATGTTTTCTCTTGAAATGTGCTTGTTCATGTCCTTTGTTCATTTTTAAATAGGATTCTTTTTTTTCTTGTAAATTTTAGATATTAGACATTTGCTGGATTCATACTTTGTGAATGTTTTCTCCCATTCTGTAGGTTGTCTGTTTACTCTGTTGATTGTTTCTTTTGTTGTGCAGAAGCTTTTCAGTTTAATTAGGTCCCAATTGTCAATTTTTGGTTTTGTTACAATTGCTTTTGGTATCTTCATCATAAAATCTTTGCTACGGCCTATGTTCAGAGTGATATTTCTTAGGTTTTATTTTGGAGTTTTTATAGTTTTAGCTTTTACTTTTAAGTCTTTAATACATCTTGATTTGATTTTTGTATATTGTGAAAGGAAGGGGTTCATCTTCAATCTTTTGCATGTGACTAGCCAGTTATCCCAGCACATTTATTGAATAGAAATTATTTTCCCAGTTGTTTGTTATTGTTAATGCTGTTGAAGATAAGATGGTTGTAGATGTGCAGCTTTATTTCTGGGTTCTAACCTGTTCCATTTGGTCTATGTTTCTGTTTTTCTACCAGTACCCTGCTGTTTTGGTTACCTCCTTAAAGTCTAGTTAGAAGTTGGATAATGTGATGATTGCAGCTTTGTTCTTTTAGCTCAGAATTCCTTTGGCTATTCAGGCTCTTTTTTTGGTCCCATATGAATTTTAGAATAGTTTTGTCTAATTGCGTGAAAAACGTTGTTGGTTGTTTGATAGGAATAGCATTGAATCTGTAAATTGTTTTGGGATGCACTGTCATTTTAACAATTTTTTTTCTTTTTGAGAAGGAGTCTTGTTCTGTCACCCAAGCTGGAGTGCAGTAGTGCCATCTCGGCTCACTGCAACCTCAGCTTCCTGGGTTCAAGTGATTCTCCTGCCTCAGCCTTTCCAGTAACTGGGAATACATGGGAATACACGTGCACGCCACCACTCTTGACTAATTTTTTTTTTGTAGAGACAAGGTTTCACCATGTTGGCCAGGCTGGTCTCAAACTCCTGACAACAGATCATCTGCCTGCCTCAGCCTCCCAAAGTGCTGAGATTACAGGCATGAGCCACTGTGGCTGGCCCATTTTAACAATATTGATCCTTCCTTCCTAACCATGGGCATAAAATATTTTCCCCATTTGTTTCTGTCACCTGATTTCTTTCAGCAATGTTTTGTGATTCTCATTATAGAGATCTTTCACCTCTCTGATTATCTATATTCCTAGATATTTTTTTTGTGGCTAATGTGAATGAGATTGTGTTCTTGATTTGCCCCTCAGTTTGGTTGTTATTAGCTTATACAAGTGCTACTTATTTTTTTTACATTGATTTTGTATCCTGAAACTTTGCTGAAGTTGTTTGCTACATCTAAGAGCCTTTGGGCAGAGACTACAGGGTTTTCAAGGTATAAAATCATATCATCCATGAAGAGAGAGAGATTGACCTCTTCTCTTCCTATTTGAATGCCTTTTCTTTCTCTTACGTGATTGCTCTGGTGAGGTCTTCTAGTACTATGTTGAATGGGAGTGGTGAGTGTGGGCATGCTTGTCTTGTTCTGGTTCTTAAGAGGAATGCTTCCAGCTTTTGCCTGTTGAGTATATTTACTGTGGGTTTGTCATAGATGACTCATTATTTTGAAGTATGTTCCTTCAATACCTAGTTTGTTAAGGGTTCTTTACATAACAGGATATTGAATTTTATTGAAAGTCTTTTCTGTATCTGCTGAGATGCTCATGTGGGATTTTGTTAAACAACCTGCTACTGAATGAGATTCTGGTATGTTGTATCTTTGTTTTCATTGGTTTAAAAGAATTTCTTGATTTCTGCCTTAATTTCATCATTTATCCAAAAGTCATTCAGGAGTAAGTTGCTGACTTTTCATGTAATTGTATGGTTTTTAGAGATCTTCTTGGTGTGAACTTCTATCTTTATTGTACTGTGTTCCAAAAAGTGTGGTCCGTATGTTTTTTTTTTTTTAATTTGTTGAGAATTGCATTATGGTCGAGCATGTGGTTGATTTTAGAGTACATGCCATGTGCACATGAGAAAAATGTATATTCTGTTCTTAGGGTGGAGTGTTTTGTAGATGTATGTTAGGTCCATTTGGTCAAATGCTGAGTTTAGGTCCCAGATATTTTTGTTAGTTTTCTGCCTTAATATTTTGTCTAATGCTGTCAGTGGAGTGTTGAAGTCTCCTACTGTTATTGCACAGTTATCTACATCTCTTTGTAGGTCTCCAAGAACTTGCTTTATGAATCTGGGCGTGCCAGTGTTAAGTGAAAATCTGTTTAGGATAGTTAAATCTTCTTGTTGATATGAACCCTTTATCACTATGCAGTGCTCTTTGTCCATTTTTATTGTTGTTGGTTTATAGTTTATTCCATCTGAAATTAGAATAGCAACCCCTGTGTTTTGTGTTTTCAGTTTGCTTGGTAGATTTTTCTCCATCTCTTGCTTTGAATCTATGGGTGTCACTGAATGTGAAATGGGTCCCTTGAAGAAATTATACAGTTGGGTCTTGCTTCTTCATGCAACCTGCCATGCTTTTATGTGGGGTGTTTTTCCCCTTTACATTCAAAGTTAATATTGATATGTGCAGATTTGATCCTGTTATTGTGTTGTTAGCTGGCTGTTAAGAAGATTTGATTGTGTAGTTTCTCTATAGTGTCAACTGTCTATGTACTTAGTGTTCTTTTGTGCCCTGTATGGTCTTTTGTTTCCATGTTTAGCATTCCCTTAAGGGCCTCTTGTAAAGCAGGGTCTGGTGGAACAAATTCTCTCTGCATTTGCTTGTCTGAAAAGGATTTTATTTCTTCTTTGCTTATGAAGTTTAGTTTGGATGGATATTTAATTCTTGGTTGAAATTTATTTTCTTTAAGAATGCTGAATATAGGCTCTCAATCTCTTCTGGCTCACAGGGTTTTGCTGAGAAATCTACTCTTCACCTAATGGGGTGTTCTTTGTAGGTGGCCTGTCCCTTGTCTCTATTTGCAATATTTTTTCTTTCACATTGAGTTTGGAGAATCTGATGACTATGTGTCTTGGGATGGTTGTCTCGTATAGCATTTTCCTGGGGTTCTCTGAATTTCCTAAATTTGGATGATAACCTTTCTAGTAAAGTTTGGAAATATTTTGTGAAAAATATCCTCAAATATGTTTTCCAAGTTGCTTGCTCTCTCTCTTTCACTCCATTTCAGGGATGACAATGATAGGTTCGTTCTCTTTACATAATCCCATATTTCTCAGAGGTTTTATTCATTCTTTTGCATTTTTTCTTTATTTTTGTCTGACTGAATTGATTTGACAAAACAGTTTTTGAGCTCTGAAATTATTTCTTTAGTTTTGTCTATTCTGTTGTTAATACTTCTGATTGTACTATGAAACTCTTCTAGTGAATTTTTCAGCTTTATTATAGCAGTTTGATTCTTTCTTTAAATGGCTATATCCTCTTTCACTTCCTCATTGTTTAATTGGATTCTTTAGATTCCTTAGATTGGGTTTCAACTTTCTCCTAAATCTTGATGATCTTTATTGCCATCCAGATTCTGAATTCTAAGTATGTAATTTCAGTCGTTTCAGCTTGGTTAAGAACCATTGACAGAGATACAGTACAGTCATTTGTAGGTAGGAAGACACTCTGGCTTCTGAGTTGCCAGAGTTCTTGTGCTGGTTCTTCCTGATCTGTGTGGGTTGATGTTTGTTTAAAGTTTTTGTCCTTTGGGTGGGGCTTTTTGCTTTTATATTCTTTGATGCTTTGAGAGTTTGACCATGTTTGTAAGTTGGGTTCAGTCAACCGACTTTGTTTCTGGATGATTTTAGAGGGCTCATACTTGGTTTAGTACTCCTGGGCTGCATGCTCTAACCCTGGGGGGCTGAAATCAGGCCCATGGCTTTGTTCTTTGGCCCATCAAGGTTAAGTACCTGCTGTGCTTGAGAGGCCAAGTTATTCCTGATATGCTGGCAACAATATTCCATTTGGGGGTGCTGTCAAAAGTGCTCTGTCAGGGTGATGGCAGCAGGGTCTGCACTCCTGCATGCAGACCAGCAGTGGCTGGACAGTGGTGTAGCAGGGTCTGCATGCATGTATGTACCTGTGGTGGTAGCGGCATGTTGGGTTCGATGCATGCATGCATGGCAGCAGCAACAGGGAGACATGGTGGAGTCCACGCATCCAGGTGTGTTCTAGCGGTGGTAGCTCTATGGGGTCTGCATGTGTACATGTACTGGCAGGGGTGAGGCTGCAACAGCAAGGTCCATGCACACATACCAGAAAAATAATGGGGGAGGCTATGGGTGAGTGTGCACCAACAAAGTGGTGGGAGGAGGCTATTAGCACATGCATGTTGGCAAGAGCCCATTTGCTAAATCTCTCCAATGGTTAGGCAGGGTCTGCTGATGAAGGAGCTATGGCAGCAGCAACAGGGAAGCATTCAGGTTGGGCATCTGAGGTTGTGCTGCAAATGAATGTAGCCAAGGAGGAACCCCAGAAGAATATGTCAGACAGTAGGGTGCTCAAATCAGAATGGCCTTGTCCCACAGGCAAGGCAGGCTTGTTTTGTCCAGGTCCAACAATCAACAAAAACCAAAGCCACCTAGAGGAGTGTGAAGAGCCTTGGGGTATGAGCGCTCCTGGCTTTACTCCACTGCAGCTCTTCCTGAACCAAACCCCCTGGGTTCTGCACAGGCTGGGGTCCTGTCCCTGCCACTTCTCCAAGCAGCTCTCTCTGCCAGATCAAGTGTCTGTGGGGGTCATGGGGTCTCCTGCAGCTAGAATTCTGGAGGTTTTTATAGTGAGAGTGGGCCACTCCTCTAACATTTAACTCACCTCTTCCCTAGGAGCTGCTGGGAGCCAGGGATGAGTCCCAGTTCTTAACAGCCCTGTGCAGGGTCCCCAGCTTCCTCCCCATTCAGCACAGGGTCTACATCCTCCCTCCACCCACCCTCAATTCCTTCCTTCCAAAGATTTGCTCAGAATGTGTTGATCTTCTTTGTCTGGTTTTCCGGTGGGAGATAACCTTCCTGGCTGTGTCCAGTTGGCCATCTTTGCTCTCCTCCCTCCCTTTTTTTTTTTCACTAATTAAGCCACATTATTTCTTTTAGCTGGATAGTATAATTCATTTACATTCAAGGTAATTGTTTATGGGTAAGAAGTTGGTATTACCATATTCTTATTTGTTTTCTAGTTGTTTTGTATAAACTTCTTCATTTTTTTCATGTCTTGCTATCTTCCTTTGTGGTTAAGTGATTTTTTCTCTATCAAGTATGTTTTGATTTCTTGCTTTCCACTTTTAGTGTGTCTGTTAAAAATGTTTGCTTTGTGGTTATCATGAGGCTTAGAAAGAACATCATATAGTCTTAGCAGGTTATTTTGAACTGATACCAAATTAATTGTGGTCACAAGAAAAGGAAAAAGAAAAACTCTATTTTTTATACATTTGGTTCCCATCACAACCTATAGGCACTTTTTTTTTTCTCCACATGTTGGATAATGATTTAATCTGCAACCTCAGCTTTTTGATGTATTCCATAAAAATAATTAATGTGCAGTTTGTCCAACTTTTACTCTGATGTATATGTGGAAGCAATGCTGTTTCCAGCTTTCCATATCTCTTACCTGAAACCAGAAACCCGAGAAGAATGCTTTTTTTATTTATCCCAGTAAATACTTTTGGCAATAATGAACTACAAAATCGAGACAAATTTTAAAGTAGAATAAAAGTGTGAAGTCTCTAGGAACCATACAGATAGTTGGTTTCATAGCTTCATGGGATTTTTTTTTTCAGGATTCACACAAGCTAATTTAATTTCAAAACACATCCATTTACAGACCCAAGAAGTGCTTTGAGCTCCAAGTATGGTAAACACAAAGAGATCCATTCATAGAAACATGATAAGCACACTGCCATAAGACAAAGGCAAAGGAAGAATCTCAAAAGAAACAAAAGAGAAGCAACTCATTTTGTCCAAGGAATTCCCAATAAGAATAATAGAATATTTTTATCAGAAAAAACAGAGGCCACATGGTGATGGATTGAAATATTCAAAGTGCTGAAAGAAAGAAACTGCCAGCAAGAATTCTATACCTAGTCTACCAGCAAATTAAGAGCATCTGGCAACATGCAAATGGCTGTGCATTTTAGAAAGATATGTTCAGGTAGTATGTAAGATATATAACAAAATATTAAAAGTAATTTTACCAAGGTACTAGAATAACAGTGACTCTGTTCTTTCTGCATTTCTAAACTTTTTCAATAGTATCATTTTGTTTGAAAAAAATATAAAAATTAATGTTACATAATACATCATAAAATATTAAGCTTGAAATATGTAACTTTCCAAATATTTTAGATGAAGTTTCAATGTTTTATTTAAAGGTAGAAAAATACATAAAATTTAATATTCCTACTCAACAGCTAACTAAATTCCTTTCATGATTTACAAGAAAACTACACAGGCAATGTTCTAGTATGTCATAACATCAGAATGATGACAGTCACCTGTGAGTTTAAAGGAACTTTGTAGGGCTGGTCTTTCTGCCAAATATGACTGTAATTTACTGCTAAAATGGATACATTTGGATCATTATTTTTCATTTGATAAATTATATGCTCAAATCTTGCTGAAGATTCTACTGGTTCAATTCCATAACTGATATTTTCAAACTGGAGAAATCCCCTGAAAATTTAGAAGGCATAAGAAAATAGTTATAAAAATCTCACAAATGATCCCTTCAAAATGATAATCTGAAATGGCATAAGAAATTAAAAAACTATACTAAAGAACACATTTTAAGCCCATTTTCTTTTTCCATTATTTTTTGGGGGGGCAGTTTATCATTAGTAAGAGCCACCATATCTGGCTTCGTTTTGCTTAAATTTTAAAGATCTAAATGCAATAAAGAACATTTTTGTAAGGCAATCACATTAATTAAGGCCAAATTTGCCACAAACAAATATATTTGTTGAGAATTCCAGGAAAAACGTTCCTGTTCTTCCAGAGGTTTGATAAGGGACGGCATGTATGTAGACTATATATCTAATGAGGTTGTTATCTATAAAAACCACATTCAGAGAATGCCAAGTTTCTGAGTTGATGTGACTCAATTCTGGAAATCAGGCAATTGAAACCAAAGGAAAGTTAGAGGGAGCATTTTTTCTCTGCTCCGGATCCTTTTTTTCCTGATGAACTTATCATAAGTGAGACTCCCAGCATCACTAACAGAAATCACTTATCCCTATCCTTTATTCCTGAGGGATCTTCTTAACTAGTTGTTTTATATCTGGTACTAAGCTGAGACCATACTATATTTTCCTATTATATTTATATAACTAACTAATGCCATTTTCCATAACTATTTGAGAAAACAGATGCAGAATGCAACAATCATACTTAAGGAGATATTTTAAAGTTTTCTTCCATGAAACTATTCCATTTTCCACGATAACCCTGGATTGATTTCATGGGAATAGGCCCTTAGGTCTAAGTATTAACATTAATACAAATAGAATAAAGCTGTTAGAAAGAAAACTTTCCATTTTGATTTCCCTTAAACTTCCATGATTTGTGTCTGCTAGTCACTAAGTTTTGTTTTAAAGACTATCTTAAGTTCTCCATCTATAGATTTCTTATAAGGTGCTATTACCTGAGACCAGAACATATACTGAGTGTCACAAATGAATTTGGAAATTCGGCAGCATATCCTTGGTAATGGCAATGCATCTGAAAAACAGTATAGAAAGGCAAGTATATAAATTCGTTGTGAATAAAAAATGTATTGTCAAACATGTCAGAAGATTCAAAATATTAAAAGATTTAATAATAAGATCATTAATTATTAATGCATATTTTCAGAAAAAAAAAGATTTGTGACAATTCTCTTTATTTTGCACCACAGGCACAAGAGAGTCCCTGTGAGTATTCGCTTGCAGCTGGGTTTCATCTCTATCACATGCCATTTCTATGTACAAAAGTCAGTAACATGTCAGTAAGGATAAAACATTTGTATTAAACTGTCAACATGAAACACATTCTAATGGTAATAATATAACCACTTTAACAAAAAAAATAAGGTATCTTACTTTACCATAAAATATGGAGACACAGAATGCAAAGATCCAGTTTCATTATATGTATAAACCAAAAAGTTCTGGGGTAAGAATGATCTAAAAAACCAAGAAATAATAAAAAAGTATGAATCATAATCTTAATATAATGTTAAAAACAAATATTACATACATTTTATATAACACGATTTAATTAGCTTTATATAATGGCATGATTTAATTGAGTGATTTTAGTGAGGCATAACAGTTGAAATTCATAGAACTGGTGAATCAAAGAGTTTAGACTTAGCACTGGGACAGACTCTGGGATTCCTCTGCATCAGACATATGTATGTATAGCTGTGTATGATGACGTTCAACAAATGTACTGAGTGTTCACTATCTGACGGACCCTCATGTAGGTGCTGGGATTCAGAGTTAGGCAAGAGACAAAAAGCCTTAGTCTTTGTGACAGCCAGGGGCACATAGTACTAGCAATTAGATGACAATAGATAAGGCCTGGGGAGGGTGGTTACAAAATGTAGATAGGGTGGCATGGAAAACCTCTCTGAATAGATGATTAAATACCTGAGGAATAAACCACATGAATTTTCACAGAAGTGTTATTCTAGAAAGAATTAATAGAAAATGCAAGGACCCTCAAGCAGAAATATGCTTTGTACAAACAAGGAACAACTAGGGGGCAATATGACTGGAGTGTGGAGTGATGAAGACAGACTATAGTAAGAGACAGTGTCACAGAGATGAGACGCATTGGAGGGTTTGAGCAGATAAAGACAGCATCAGACCAATGTTTTAATAAAATCAGCACTGTGTTGAGAATAATCTGCAGGACAAACAAGCAGAAGAAACAGGGAGACATTTAGATGTAAGACATGATGGTGCTTTGAACTAAGATAGCATCAGTGGGGTAGGTCTAATTCTGGATATATTTTGTAGGGTTTAGATATAGATATAGATATATTTTGAATACAGAGGTTTATAATCCACTGGAAATAGGGGAAAACGACAGAAAGATGTCAAGTATGACTCCGACTTTTTACATGTTTTTTTTTCCTGAAAAACTTATATATTTGCCAATTCCTGACATGACTGTGAGAAAGACAAATTGAGAAGAAAGTCAGAATTCCATTTGGACATGTTACCTATGAGGATTCTAGTAAATACTTGGTTATCAACTAAGTACTCAGATAAGTGAATATGGCATTTATTTAAGAGGAATAAGGTAGAGATGTTAATTTGGGAGCAACCAACATGTGGATGGTATTTAAAGTCACAAGAATTAAACAACCAGATGATTGAATATAGCTAGGGGGAAAAAAAAAAACCAGAATGCAGAAACCATACTATGGAGTACTCTAAGATTCGAGAGATGAGAAAGAATTAAAAAAAAAAAAATAGAGAAAGGAGAGACAGAGAGAGAGTGAGAGAGCACTGAAGTACCCAGAGTACTTCAGAGTAAAATCAGGAGCAGGAGTCTGTGGTATTCTGGAAGCCAAATGAAGAAAGTATTTTACGGGGGAGACACTGGTCAACTATGATCAATGCTGCCAACTGGTTAAGAAAAATTAAGACTAAAACACAAACAGAGCATTCAAAAACATGAGGACCACTGATGATTCTATCAGAAAACACTTGTGGAGTTGTAGAGGAAGAAAAGTAAACGTGAATTAAGTAGGGTAGTCATGAATTAAGTGAGAATAATTTCCTCTAGCCTTGTTCAATTACAAAGAAGCAGGCAGACAAGGGACAGTTGCTATAAATACATATGTTTGAAGATGCAGACAGAGAAGAGGCTACTTTATTTTTATAAAATGTTGAGAAAATACAAATCAAGATACAAACAGTAGATTGTTGCTTGGAGTTGTGAGTGAGAAAGAGGCTAACTGAGAAAACATGAGGGCTCTTACGTGGGGAAAGAATGTTCTAAAACTGATTTATATTTGATGGTGGCAACAGTGCACAAATTCATTAAAATTATTGAACTTTATACTTTAGAGAATTTTACATGTAAAGTAGGTTCAGTAAACTTGTTAAAAATAGACACACTTGTAATCAGCATATCATAAAAATTGTGTCACTAGTTGAATTTCCCACCATAATCACTTGATGTGTAACTTGTCGTATACATCCAGATGGCCTGAAGCAAATGAAGAATCACAAAAGAAGTGAAAATGGCCAGTTCCTGCCTTAACTGATGACATTTCCTTGTGAAATTCCTTCTCCTGGCTCAGAAGTTCCCCCACTGAGCACCTTGTGTTCCCCGCCCCTGCCCGCCAGAGAACAACCCCCTTTGACTGTAATTTTCCACTACCTACCCAAATCCTATAATCCCCACCCCTATCTCCCTTTGCTGACTCTCTGTTCGGACTCAGCCCGCCTGCCCCCAGGTGATTAAAAAGCTTTATTGCTCACACAAAGCCTGTTTGGTGGTCTCTTCACACGGACACCAGTGACATAACTATGTTTGATTTCACACCAGATATACTTAATATATAACTTGCTGTTCTTGGGTTCAACGGCTTATATGCAATTTGAGATTTTACAAGTATGTAGTTTATTTCATAATTTGAAAATATCAAGCGAAAATTAAAATGAAAGAGCTCTATAGATCTGATATTCAAAACCTAATGAATCCTAAATTGGGAAGTTGATTGATAAAACAAGTCTACATTATACAGCATTCCTGAATTTAAATACTGCACAAAAACTTTAAGGCTGTAAAATCTAAACTTAAAGCTTTCCCTTTTCCTTAATGAAAAAAAAATCATATCTTACTGTTTTCCGAGATGTAGAGTGTAAGGTTGTCCATCAATTGTAATGATGTAAATCATCTAAAATAAAACACATCAGTAAAGATTGTGAAGGAAACCAGAAATATATAAAATAAAACAATATTCATCCAAGTTAATAAAAAGAGTCTATCTATTAAAAATGAACATAATCTTTAGAATTTATTATTCTAAATAGTAAGAATTTAATATCTTAATAAATTCAGGAACAATGTGACCAATTTAATGTGTGGGGTGACTTTTTAAAATAAAAGTGAAGGGGAACTGTGGTATATATACATGATGGAATACTACTCAGCCATAAAAAGAAAGGAATTAATGGCATTTGCAGTGACCTGGGTGAGTTTGGAGACCATTATTCTAAGTGAAGTAACTCAAGAATAGAAAACCAAACATCACATGTTCTCACTCATAAGTGGGAACTAAGCTATGGATGCAAAGGCATAAGAATGACACAATGGAATTTGGGGACTTGGGGGAAAGGGTAGGAAGGGGCTGAAGGATAAAAGGCTATGAATTGGGTTCAGTGTATACTGCTCGGGTGATGGGTGCAACAAAATCTCACAAATCACCACTAAAGAACTTACTCATGTAACCAAATACCACCTGCTCCCCAAAAACCTATAAATAAAAATAAAATAAAATAAAAATGAAAAGTACATTTTTAAAAAAATATATATATTTAGCATTTTAGCATTATTAACACTATATTAACTGCTTCTATTTAGAAAAACACTTGCATTTTTAGTCAAGATAAATTAGACATGGCTGCAGGCACACATGCCACACAAAATATAACGAACCAGTAACAAATTTTAATATATACATACATATGTGCAGTCATACCTATTTAGAGACATTTAGCATCTCTCTCTCAACATATAAAACTGTGGAAAAAGAGCTAAGAGACTGAAAGCAGACAAGAAGCTAGTGAGGAAGACTATACCTCCAGGGACAAGAGTTATAAACTATCACAAATTGGGTACTAACAATGCTCATGATCCTATTGTGATGGCATCCAGAAACAGCAGGTGATGCCATTAAATTCTTCAGGGGGGCGTAACTGGACTAAGTCTACAGATGCAGACAGAGGTCTATCCTACTAAACCCACCATTTCTCTTCCAAGGCAAACAAATGTCAAGAGAAGTCTCTAATTTTAAGCTGGAACAGTCTGTGAATTGGGTAGAGAGAAACAGGGCAATACTGCCTATGACTGGAAATGGCAGAAAGAAAAAGGAGCACACAGGCTCAGAAGGCTATCTGCTCATCACCCAGACTGGAGGCAAATCTCATCCCATTATTCCCTTAAACCAATGTAAGCTACTAAGTTAAATCCAATGCATTCTCCCAGACTGAATGCAAAACAAAGGCAGCAAAAGGTCTGACACAATCTCCACTCCAATGGCAAGTCCACAATAAAAATCTATCTAACTTCTGAGGTACATCTACACCAAGAAGGGACAATAACAAATTCAACAAATAAAAGGAGTAATTTATCAAATCACTCCTGAGAAAACCATAAAGTGTGTTGTATTAGGCTGTTCTTGCATTCCTATAAAGAACTACCTGAGACTGGGTAGTTTATAAAGAAAAGAGGTTTAGTTGGCTCACCGTTCTGCAGGCTCTACAGGCATGGGACCAACATCTGCTTGGCTTCTGGGGAGGCCTCAGAGAGTTTTTACTCATGGCAGAAGGTGAAGCAGGAACTTGCACATGGCAAAAGCAGAAGCAAGGAGGAGAGTGGGGGTAGGGGGAAGTGCCACACACTTTTACATGACCAGATCTCACGAGAACTCACTCACCATTGCAAGGACAGCACCAAGCCATGAGGGATCCACCCCCATGACCCAAACACCTCTCACCAGACCTCACCTCCAACACTGAGAACCACATTTCAACATGAGATTTGGAGCGAACACATATACAAAACTGTATCATGTGTGAATAAAACAGGACCTTAATATAAGTATATTTAATATCTTTAGAAAAATAAAAATAGACATTATAAGGAGTAGGGATTGAGTGTAACAAAAAACTAGTTCTATAATTTTCTAATGCGTAATGAGGGCTTATCAAATGCCTAGTATGGTCCGAAGCACTTCGTATGTTTTTTTGTAATTTTTTATCCTCAGAAAAACTATTTTTCATTTCAAGAAACAGAGATTAAGTAACTCTCCAAAGATGATACATCAAATGAGTGTAAGAGCCTGGCAGAGAAGCAATGTGCTTTACCACTGTGTGACAATGCCAGCATGTGGCGAAGAGCAGAGAGTTCTTACTGAAGAAAAGACAGAAAATCATAAAAATGAATCAATTATAGATGATATAAATGACCACGTAACTGATGATTTTTAAGTAAATCATTATCCTGAATAAGAGTCTGGCTATATCTGAAAGATAATTAGTGAGGTTGAACATCAAAACTAGAAAGTTTCTGTGAATTAAACACAAAAATATTTTAAAAGTGAAAGATCTGAAAGAATAAATAAGAAACAGAGAAGCTATTTCCAGGACTTCCAATATCAACTAATAAGAATTTAAGAAGGCAAAAATAAAGTGAAAGAAATATTAATAGTTAAAAACTACTACTTCAAAATTGAACACATAAGTATTATCATTTAATGTGCTCATCAAGGGTCATATAGAGAGTTTAAAACACAAAACTAACAATATAGGCTTACCTCAGAGATGTTGCAGGTTTATTTCCAAACCATTGCAATAAAGCAAGTATTTCAATGAAGCAAGTGATGTATATTTTTTGGTTTCCCAGTGCATATAAAAGTTATGTTTACACTATACTGTAGTCCACTGAATGTGTAAAGCAAATTATGTCTATAAATGTTCAACCTTAGTTAAAAAATGATTTATTGCTAAAAAAGGCAAACAGATACAAAACGAGCACATGCTGTTGTACAAGTGGCACAGGTAACTTGCTTGACACAGGTGTGAATTGCAATTAAGTAAAGCACAATAAAATAAGGTATGCCTGTAGTGAGGGACACAGAATAGCCACCAAAATTTTGAGAAGAAAGAACCAAGTTTGGAGAAATTACCTTATCTAATTTCAAGATTTTCCTCTAAAGCTATCATAATCAAGACAGAATGATATTGGCAAAACAAAATGGACGCACAGAAAAATGGAATAGAAAAAAGAGCCCAGAAATAGACCTTCAACTGATTTTTGAAAAAGATTCAAAGGCAGTTCAATGGAGAAAGGGTCGTCATTTCAATTGACGGTGATAGAACAATTGGATGTCCACATGCAAAAAGACGAATCTCAATACAGACATCACACCTTGCACAAGTGTGCAAGATAGAACAATTGGATGTCCACATGCAAAAAGATGAATCTCAATACAGACATCACACCTTGCACAAGTGTGGAAAGAAATTGTAGACTTAAAGGTAATACACAAAACCACAGAATATCTAAAATGAAACACAGGACAAAAACCTCTGTATTCCTGGTGTTGATGATGAGTTTTTAGATATGATAGCAAAAGCATAATCCATACAGGAGAAAAAAAATACAAGTTGGACTTCATTTTTGTGAAAATACTAGCTCAAAGAAAGACATTATTAAAAGAATGAAAAAAAGCTATAGACAGGGAAAAATATTTGGAAATCACATATCTCATAAAAGACTTAACTAGAGTACATAAAAAGCTTTTGAAACTCAAAAACAAGAAACAACCCAATTTAAAAATGAACAAAATGTCTGAATCTTACAAAGAAGATATACAGATGGAAAATAACGGTATATTTTTAAAATCTTAGACCAGAAGAGGGATTTTGCAAGAGATTGAAGGTCAAGAAGGTACACAAGAGTGTGGCAGAAATGACCCTAAAGTTCTCATCTGGATTCAAGGCAGTTCCAGTAAGGGTGGAACTGTGACTTTCAGTCTATTACATGAGACATGGTCACCTATAAAATCATAAGAGTAATGCAAGTCAAAACCTTAAACTCTATAGCATGGCTTCTATCAAAAGAACAAGCAACAGCAAATGTTGGTGTGTACGTAGAGTAATTGGAATCCTTGTGCTGGTGGAAATTTAAAATGATGCAACCATTACAAAAAATACTAGAGAGGTTCATCCAAAAAATCACATAAAAATAGAATCATATAAAATATAGAATTATTATATGATTTAAAACCTCACTGTGGGGTATGCATCCAAAACAATTCAAAGCAGTATCTTGAAGAGGTTATCTGCACACCAATGTTCTTGGTATCATAATTAACAATAGCCAAGAGGTGGAAGCAACCCAAATGCCCATCAGTAACGAATAGACGAATAAAATGTGGAAAATGCAACAGATTATTATGCAGCATTAAAAAAGAAGGAAATCCTACTACATGCTAAAACAAGGTTGAATCTTGAGGACACTATACTAACTGAAATAAGCCAGACATGAAATACATCATTTATGTTTGCACTAATATAAAATATCTAATGTAGTCAAAATCATGGAAACAAAAAGTAGAAAGATGGTTGGAAAGGGCTGGGGAAGGCCATCAAGGAAATTAGTATTTAATGGGTATACAGATTCAGTTTTCCAATATAAAAAAATTCTAGAGATTTGTTGCATAACAGTGTGAATTTAATTAACAGCATTGAATCATATACTTAAAAATAGTTACAGTGGTATATTTTATCTTATGTACGTTATTGTACAATACATTTTTCTAAAAGACAGGTAATGTGAGATTGGATAAAAAACCAAGACCCAATTATATGCCCACAGAGACATGGGTTGATTAAGAGAACAAAGAGAAATATATCATCCAAATGCTAATCATAAATAAACTAAATGTGTACATTAAAAACTAAGAAGGCAAACCACGATAATAAGAAATAATATTAGGAATAAGCAGAAACATTTCATAATGATAAAAGTGTCAATTCCTCAAGAAGGCAATATAAATCTAAATGTGCATAAAGCTGTAAAATGCATGAAAAACTCAAATGTGGAGGAAACAAGTATTACTTATAAATGGAGATGTAAACACTTCACTGAGAGCAAAGTGCCACCACCTGGCCCCTGCCACATTGGGCTGGAAGACAGAAGACAGTGCAGCAGTGATATGTTTTGGGTCTGTGTCCCCACTCAAATCTCATATCAAATTGTAATCTCCAATGTTGGAGGTGGGGCATGGTGGGAGGTGATTAGATCAGAAAGGCAGATTTCCCTTTTGGTGCTGTTCTTGTGATAGTTATCGCGAGATTTGGTTGTTTAAAAGTGTGCAGCATCTCCTCCTCCTCTCTCTTCCTCCTGCTCTGGCCATGTAAAGCATGCCTACTTCCCCTTCCCCTTCCACCATGACTGAATGTTTCCTGAGGCCTCCCCAGCCATGCTTCCTGTACAACCTGCCCAACGGTGAGCCAATTAAACCTCTTTTCTTTAAAAATTATCCAGTCTTAGTTATTTCTTTATAGCAATGTGAGAACAGACTAATACAAATAGGAATTGAGACTGTGGGCATTTGGGCCACTTCATCATGTAACTTCATACTGCCTTCAGACACATTCAAAACCCCAGTCATGTTTATACCCCTTCCAATTGATTGTGAAATCCTGTTGTGCATGTCCCACCATAAGCTTTGCAGGTCAGATAACACCCAGTTCCTCATGGGCAGCTCAGGTCCCAGGGTAACCTGGTGCCCTGATTAAGCATTCAGTCTTATTAAGGCTCGTTAGCAAGTCAAAAACTGTTTCTCAAACTGAGAGCAGTTATCCACAGAAATAGCATTAGTGACAGAAAATTAGCAAAGACCTAGAATATTAAACACTATCAATCAACTTGAAATAATTTACATTTATAGACCACACAATCCACCAAGATGAAATAAACACATTTTTTAAATCCACAAAGAACAATTACTAAGATATACCTTATTTTATGCCAAGCTTCAATACTCTAAAAATATTTAAGCCACTGAAAGCAAGTTACCTGGATCCAATCAAATTAAAATATAAATCAGTATCAGAAATATCTAGACAACTTCTCAAGTTTTTAGATATTAAATAACTCACTTCTAAATATTACCTAAGTCAAAGAAGCAATTATAAGAATTTAGAAATAATTTTAAACAAATGATGATTAAAGCCATAATCCATAAAACTTTGTGGCCTGCAGAAAAATAAAAACTGTGATTAAAAGAAAGTTTACAGACCTTTCTTTAACAGTGCTTTAAAAAAATTTACAAATTTATATGTTTTTATTAGCAAGAAATAACCAAGAACAGATGAAAACTTTCTTAAATTATTAAAAGGCATTGAACAAAATCTACAGCTAATGTCAGACTTAATGGTGAATAATCGAATGCATCCTCTCTGCAATCTCAAGAAATAAATATTTATTGACAATTTATTTCACACTTTTTATTGAATATGGTACTGGAGGTTCTAGCCAGTGCAATACCACAAGGAAAAGGAATAACTGGTAGGCAGAATTTAAAAAAAAAAACACAAATTTTTTAAATCTTCAAAACACATGATAATACACAGAAAAAATTCTAAGTAATATATGAAAAAAGTTGCTAGAACTAATGCGTGAATTTAATAATATGAAGGATGGAAGCTCAATATTTAAAATTTAATTTAGTTCTACATAACAACAATGGATAATAAGAATATGCAATAAAAATGGAATTTACACAAGCATCAAAAACATGACATTTTTTAAAAGTTATAAAATATATGAGCAATATCTGTGTCTAGAAAGCTTCAGAAAAATGATTAGTGAAATTAACAAAGACATAAATAAATGTGTGTGTGTGTATATACATATATAAACCCATTGAGATACATCTATTAAAGACATTGAATCGATAATTAACCTTCCACAACAGGAAGCACCAGGCCCAGATGGATTCACTGGTAAATTCTACTAAACATTTAAGAAATAATGTATACTAATTTTCTACAATCTCTTTCAAGAGATAGAAGCACAGGGAATACTTCTTTTTCTATAAAGCTAGATGAAAAATCCTCCACAAAATATTAGCAAATCTTATTCAACAGTGTATAAAATAATTATTTTTATACATTATAAAAACTATTTACATATTTTATACAAATTTTTTTATACATTACAACCAAGTGAGGTTTACCCTAGATGTGCAAAGGTAACGCAACACTTGAAAATCAATTCATGTAATCATCACATTGTCTAAAGGAAAAGAATCACATGAGATCATTTCAATAGACATGGAAAAGGCATTTGAAAAAATCCAGCCTGGCGCAGTGGCTCATGCATGTAATCCTAGCGCTTTGGGAAGCCGAGGTGAGTGGATCACCAGAGGTCAGGAGTTTGAGACCAGCCTGGCCAACATGGCGAAACCCTGTCTCCACTAAAAATACAACATTAGCCGGGCGTGTTGGTGGGTTCCTGTGATCCCAGCTACTCAGGAGGCTGGGGCAGGATAATCACTTGAACCCAGGAGGTGATGGTTGCAGTGAGCTGGGATCGCACCACGGCACTCCAGCCTGGGTGAGAAAGCAAGACTCTCTCTCAAAAAAGAAAAAAGAAAAAATCCAACACCCTTTTCTTTTTTTTGTTGTTTTTTTTTTTTTTTGAGACGGAGTCTTGCTCTGCCACCAAAGCTAGAGTGCAGTGGCATGATCACAGCTCACGGCAACATCTGCCTCCCAGGTTCAAGTGACTCTCCTTCCTCAGCCTCCCGAGTAGCTGGGATCACAGGCATGCACCACCACATCCTGTTAATTTTCATATTTTTAGTAGAGACCAGGTTTTGCCATGTTGGCCAGGCAGGTCTCGAACTCCTAGCCTCAGATGATCCACCTGCCTTGGCCTTTCAAAGTGCTAGAATTACAGGTGTGAGCCACCATGCCTGGCCAACACCCACTTTGAATAATAATAACGATGGCGATAAAAATTTTCAGCAAACTAAGAATAGCAGGCCATGTTCTAACCTTAATAAAGAACATCTATTTAAAAAAACCTAGGGCTAACATCATACATAGGTTTTGAAAAACTAGACCCTTTCATGCTAAGATCAGGATCAAGGCACAGATAGCTACTCCTTTCAACATCACACTACCAGTCCTAGCCAATGCAATAAGAAAAGGTATACTAGATTGGGAAAAAAGAAATGAAACTGTCTTTGTTCATAGATGAAAAGATTGTCTATGTAGAAATTCTGAGAGGATTGATGAAAAAACCTTCTGGAACCAAAAAACAATTACAGCAAGGTTGCAGGGTAGAAGGTAAACATACAAAAGTCAATTGCTTTCCTACATACTAGCAATGAAGGAGGGGAATGTGAAGTAAAAACAATGCCATTTACATTAGCATCCAAAACTCAAAATATTTAGATACAAATCTAGCAAAATATGTACAACATCTACATGAGAAAAACTTCAAAATTGATGAAAAAATTAAATAAGAACTAAGTGAAATATTCCATGTTATGGATAGCAACACTAAATATCATTAAGACATTAGTTATTTCCAACTTGATTAATAGATTCAAGATAGTTCCAATCAAAATTCCACTTAGTTATTTTGCAAATATCGACAAACAAATTCTACAGTTTATGTGGAGAGGCAAAAGACCAAGAACAGGCAACACAACACAATACTAAAAGAGAAATACAAAGTTGGAGGACTGACACTACCTGATGTCAAGACTGAACTATAAAGCTACAGTAATTAGCAGATTGTGGTATTGGCTAAAGAATAAACAAATAGAATAATGGAACAGAAAAAAGAGCACAGAAATTGATCTATGTAAATAAAGTAAACTGACCTTTGACAAAAAAGCATAGGAAATACAATGAAGTAAAGACAGTCTTTTCAACAAATGGTGTTGGGACAACTGGATATCCAAACGTAAAAAAATAAATAAATCTAGACACATAACATAATAGTTCACCAAAATTGACTTAAAATTAATAACAGACCAAAATGTAAAATACACAACTATAAAACTACTTGAAGAGAACACAGGAGAAAATCTAGGTGACCTTAGCTATGGCAGTGACTTTTTAGTACAACCCCAGAGGCATGATCCATGAATAAATAATTGATAAACTGGATTTAATTAAAACTGAAAATTTCTTCTCTGTGAAAGACACTGTCAAGTATATGAAGAGATAAACCACAGATTAAAAGAAAATATTTGCAAAAGGCCTATATGATAAAGGACCAAAATATCTAAACAACTCCTAAAACTCAACAATAATAAAATGAACAGTCAGACTTTAAAAAGAGACAAAAACCTAAACAGACATCTCATCAAATAAGATATATGTCAAGCAAATAAGACATATGTCAAACAAACATGAGACCTGATAGTCAGGGAGGCTGTGCATCCATAAGGACAGTGGTATATTGAAAGATTCTGTACTTTCTTCTAATCTTTTCTCTGAACCTAATACTGCTCTAAAAAAATTAATCCTTATACATTATTAAGGAATTGCAAATTAAAAATAAAATATTATTACACATTGATTTGAATAGTCAAAACGCAAACACTGACAACCCCAATTGAAGTAAAGATGAGGAGCCACAGGAACTCTTATTCTTCGTTTGTAGAAATGCAAAATAATAGATCAGCTTTGGAGGATAAGCTGGCAGTTTCTTACAATACTACACATACTCTTACCATATAATCCAGCAATTGTGTTCCTTGGTATTTACTGAAAAGAGCTGAAAACTTATGTCCATACAAATATCTATACAGAAATATTTATGGCAGCTTAATTCATAGCTGCCAAATCTTAGAAGCAGCCAACACATCCTTCAGTAGGTATACATAAATAAACTGTGGTACAGCAGACAATAGATTATTATTCAGTGATAGAAATGAACTATCAAACCATTAAAAGACATAAAAGAATCTTAAATGCATACTAAGTGGGAAGAAAAGCCATCTGAAAAGGCTACATACTTCAAGATTCCAATTATAACACACTCTGGAAAAGGCCAAACTATAGAGACTGTAAAAGAATAAGTAAATGTCAAGGATTTGGTTGGTGGGGAGGGATGATTAGGTAGAGCACAAAGGAGTTTTAGAACAGTGAACTTATTCTGTATGATACTATTAGTGGATACATGTCATTATACATTTGTTCAAACCCACATGGTACACAGCACTAATGTATACTATGAAATTTTGAGTGATGATGTGTCAATATAGATTTGTTAATTGAAACAAACATCTGAGATCTGATAGTCAGCGAGGCCGCACATCCATAAGGACAGTGGTAAGCTGAAAGATTCTGTACTTTCTTCTCATCTTTTCTCTGAACCTAATATTGCTCTAAAAAAACACCACACACACAGTTTATTTTAGAAATTCTTGAAATTAAAAATGGATAAGATCAGATTTCTGGTTCCAGCCAAAATGGAATAGCCTCATTCTTCCAAGTTCTTCCCTCTTAAAGCTAAGAAATCCTGGGAATATAATTGAAAAATAAAAATAAAAAATTTTGGAGAAATGGAAACAAGAAGGCAGACTAACCAGTGATATAAGGACTTGAGCAATAACTAGTTCAGGCCGGGCATGGTGGCTCACTCCTGCAATCCCAGCACTTTGGGAGGCCGAGGTGGGTGGATCACTTGAGGTCAAGAGTTTGAAACCAGCCTGGCCAACATGGTGAAACCCCATCTCCACTAAAAATACAAAAAAATTAGCCAGGTATGGTGGTGTGCACCTCTAATCCCAGCTATTTGGGAGGCTGAGGCAGGAGAATCTCTTGAAACCTCTGAGGCAGAGGTTACAGTGAGCTGAGATCATGCCACTGTACTCCAGCCTGGAGTGAATTTCCAGAGTGAATCTCCTGGAGTGAATCCAGCCAGAGTGAATCTCCATCTCAAAATAAACAAATAAATACATATTTAAAAAAATAAAAATAAAAAATAAAAACAGTTCACTGGTTTTCTTTTGACTCCCATGCTTGTAAATGGTTTGCTGGAGAAGACAGCAACCTGGAACTACCAACAGGCACAGTGTCAACAGGGTCCAGTGTAGAGCTGAGATTGCAGTCCCTCCTTGTAGTGATGAAGCACCACCTCCATGGCAGTGAAAGTCAGCCCTGTGCTTCACCTATTCAGGATTCCAGTTAGGTACAATGAATAACACATGAAAACAAAGTTACCAAAATAAAAATCTAAGTGGAAGGGCTCAACCACAGCATGGGGTTAGGGGAGAAAATACTGAAATGGGAGACAGAATAATAGAAATTATCCAATCTGAAAATTGAGGAAACTTACAAAAAATGTAGAGAGGAAATGATAAAAAATGCACAGAGCTTCAGGGACCTAGGGTACTATAACAAAAATTCTACCAGAAAATGACAAAAAATGCACAGAGCTTCGGGGACCTAGGGTACTATAACAAAAATTCTACCAGTGTCATTAGAATCCCAAATAGAGACGGAGGCTACAGTTGAAAAGGTACTCACAAGAAATAGCGGGTGAAAATTTACCAAATTTGACAAAATCATAAACCTATTGATTTAAGAAGCTAGAAACTATTGAGACTACAAAGGAAACAATTACCAAAAAAAAAAAAAAAAAAAAAAACTCACAGCAAAATGCATCATAGTTCAATTTCTGAAAACTAAAGGAAATTTTTAAAATCTTGAAAGTAATGAAAGAAATGACAACTTACCCATTAGGGAAAAAAAAACAAATGACAGCAAATTTCTCATAAGAAGACATGAAGATCAAAGGAAATGTCGTAACATAAATACGATGAAAAAAAAGACCCATAAATCTAGAATTCTATGAAAATCCACTTTAAAATATCCTTCATAAATGAAGAGATAATCAAGACATTCTCAGATCAGGAAACTAAGAGAATTTGTCTCATACAAACCTACACTAAGAAAACGACTAAATAAATTTCTCTAAACAAAAAAGGAAAAATAAAAGAGGAAGGATTGAAACACCCAGAATGAACAAAAAACATAGAGGGGAAAGTATGGGTAATTACAAAAGTTTACCTTTTCATATTGAGTTTTCCAAATTAATTTGAAGATTGAGGCAAAAATTATTACACTTATTTCTTTGTGTTCCTTTACTTTAGCCCATTTATAATTGCCTTAAATATTTCCTCAACATATATTTAGAAACACATTAAGGTTTAAATAGTTTGCTTAACCTGGTGAAATGATGACAGTAGGCTGTGAAAAGTTACGTACATGTAATGTAATATCTAAAGTAACCACTAAAAGAGCTCTACAAGTATATATTCTTGAACCAACCCCACAGCAAAAAACTATGTTATTCTGGTAATTTATACATAAGCATGAAAAAGAAAATAAAAATTAAAAGCAAAACAAAAAATTACTTGGTAGATGTAACACCAATGGTGACGTTAAATATAAATGATATGAATAGGCAAAATTACAGATTGACTGGATTTAAAAATTGACAAAGCTATATTCTGTTAAAAATAATTTCACATCAAAGACAATTGCCTAGGCTGGCTGAAAGCAATAATATTGAAGAAAACTTATCATGTAAACATAAATCAAAGGAAAGTAGAAATTGTTATATTAGTATCAAATAATGCAAAGATATTTATCAGAGAATGAGAAAGGCATTATATAATGATAAAGGGTATCAATCCAGCAAGATGTAATAATCCTAAATGGGTATGCCCCAAAAGACAGAACTGCAAAATATAAGAAGCAAAACCTGACAGAAGATAGTCTTTCGACTATCCTTCCCCATTGTATCCTTTTGGTGAACTTGTGGAAAATCTGTTGACTGTATATGTTTGGATTCATTTCTGGGCTCTCTGTTCTCTTCTATTGGTCTACATGTCTGATTTTTTTTTTATGACAAAACCATACTGTTTTGAATATTATGTTTTTTAAATATAATTTTAAATCAGGAAGTATGATGCCTCTAACTTTTTTCCTCAGTATTGCTTTGGCTACTCGAGGTTATTTTGTGGTTCCACACAAAATTTAGCATTGTATTTTGTATTTCTGTGACGAATGCCATTGGAATTTTGATTGGGATTGCACTGAATCTGCCTATTGCTTTGGGTAGTATGGACATTTTAGCAACATTACTCAAGAATAAAAATCAATGGCCCCATAACATAAAAGCAAACAAGCTATTGCTGATATGGAGAAGGTTTCATCGTCTGGATAGACAATCAAACCAGCCGTAACATTCCCTTAAGCTAAAGCTTAATCTGGAAAAAAGTCCTAACTTTCTTCATTTCTATGAAGACTGAAAATGAAAAGAAAGTGAAGAAGAAAAGAGTGAAGCTAACAGAGGTTGGTTCATGAGATTTAAGAAGATATCTCCATAACAAAAATGCAAGGTGATGCAGCAAGTCCCAATACAGAAGCTGAAACAAGTGATCTGTAAGATCTAGCTAAGATAATTGATGAAGACCGCTCTACTAAACAACAGATTTTCAGTGTAGATAAAACAGCCTTCTACTGGAAGAATACACCATCTAGGACTCAGCTAGAGACTTTCATAGCTAGAGAGGGGAAATCCATGCATAGCACTTTTTAAATTGTTATTTTAGATTCAGGGGTACACGTGCTTGATTGTTACATGGGAATTACATGCATGATGCTGGGGGTTGGGCTTCTAGTGTACCCATCACTCAAATATTGGACATTGTTCCCAGTAGGTATTCTGTCCCCATCCCCCATTTTGGAGTCCCCAGAGTCTATTTTCTTCATCATTTTATGTCCAACTGTACCATTTATTTAGCTCCCACTTATAAATGAGAACATGTAATATTTTATTTTTTTACTTCTGGGTTATTCCACATAGGATAATGGCCTCCAGTTCCTCCATGTTGCTAGAGCAGACATGATTTCATTCTTTTTTATGGCTGCATAATATTCCATGGTGTATATATACCACCTTTTATTTATCCAGTGAACTGTTGGTGGACATTTAGATTGGTTCCATGACTTTGTTATGGTGAATAGTGCTGCAATAAACATACAAGTGCAGGTGTCTTTTTAAAATGATCTATATTCCTTTTTTTATCAATGTAAAATGGGTATTTAGATACCAGTTAGTGAAATTGCTGGGTCAAACATCAAAAAACTAAAAATAGAACTATCATTCTACCCAATCTTAATGTCTAGCTTTAAAAGACGAGCTGACTCTCTTGTTAATGCTTATTACAGCTGGTGACTTTAAATTGAAGCTGATACTCAGTGACCGTTCTAACAATGCTAGGGCCCTTAAGAATTATGCTAAATGTACTTATGCCTGTGATGAGAAATGTAACAACAAAGTCTGGATGATAGTATAACTATAATATGGTTTACTAAATATTTGAAGCTGACTGTTGAGACCTACTGCTCAGAAAAAAAGATTATTTTCAAAATATTACTGCTCATTGACAATGTACCTGGTCACCTAGGAGCTCTAACGGAGATGTGCAAGGAAATTAAGGCTGTTTTCCTGCCTGCGAACACAGCGTCCATTCTGCAGCCCAGTCAAGGAGCTATTTTGACTTTCAAGTCTTATTACTTAAGAAATACATTTTGTAAGGCTATAGCTGCCATAAATAGTGATTCCTCTGTTGGATCTGGGCAAAGTCTATTGAAAAAGTATGAAAAGAATTCACCATTCTACATGTCATTAAGACAATTCACGATTCATGGAAAGAGGTTAAGATATCAACACTAACAGGAATTCAGAAAAAGTTAATTACAGCTCTCATGAATGACTTTGAGGGATTCAAGAATTTAGTGGAGAAAATAACTACAGATGTGGTAGAAATGGCAAGAGAACTAGAATTAGGAGTGGAGGCTGAAGATATGACTGAAATTTTGCTATCTCATAATAAAACTTGAATCGATGAGGAGTTACTTCTCACGGGTGAGCAAAGAAGTTGGTTTCCTGAGATGGAATCTACTCCTAGTAAAGATGCTGTGAATACTGTTAAAATTACAAAAAAAGAGTTTACAAAATTACATAAACTTAGTTGATAAAGCAGTGGCAGGGTTGGAGAAGATTGAGTCCAATTTTAAAATAAGTTCTACTGTGGGTAAAATGCTATCAAACAGCATTGCATACTATAGAGAAATCTTTCATGAAAGGAAGAGTCAACCGACACAGCAAACTTCATCATTGTCTTATTTTAAGAAATTGGCACAGCCACCCCAACCTTCAACCACCACCCTGATCAGTCAGCAGCCATCAACATCAGACAAGGCCTGATTGTAACCAGCAAAAGATTACAACTCACTGAAAATTCAGATGATAGTTACAATTTTTTAGTAATAAAGTGTTTTAAATTAAGGTTTATACAATGTTATTTTTAGCCATAGCACTATTGCACACTTAATAAACTATAGTATATAGTATACCAAACATAAGTTTGGTATGCACTGGGATACCAGTTTGTGTGACTTACTTTAGTTTGGTAGTCTAGAACCAAACCTGCAATATCTCCAAGACATGCCTGGAACTTTCAGTTTTGAACAATAATAAGCAAAAGTATTATAAGTCAAAATAAACAGGAAAATAACCAGAAGGAATCATGAGAGAGTTTGTGACTTGCTCTTATGTTCTATTTCTGAATCGAGTGCTAATTTTGGAGGTGTGTCTACTTTGTGAAAATTCATTGAGATATATGTATTATTTATCAATGTAAAATGTTATTTTAGTTTAAAAAAGAAAATCTAGAAAAAATTTATTTTGGAAATTAAAGGCAAAATGTCCTCTTCCCAAAATACTTGAGCCAAAAGGAATGATAGCATTCATTTTATTTTTTTTATTTTATTTTATTTTTTATTACACTTTAAGTTTTAGGGTACATGTGCACATTGTGCAGGTTAGTTACATATGTATACATGTGCCATGCTGGTGCGCTGCACCCACTAACTTGTCATCTAGCATTAGGTAGATCTCCCAATGCTATCCCTCCCCTCTCCCCTCACCCGACAACAGTCCCCAGAGTGTGATGTTGCCCTTCCTGTGTCCATGTGATCTCATTGCTCAATTCCCACCTATGAGTGAGAATATGCGGTGTTTGGTTTTTTGTTCTTGCGATAGTTTACTGAGAATGATGATTTCCAATTTCATCCATGTCCCCACAAAGGACATGAACTCATCATTTTTTATGGCTGCATAGTATTCCATGGTGTATATGTGCCACATTTTCTTAATCCAGTCTATCATTGTTGGACATTCGGGTTGGTTCCAAGTCTTTGCTATTGTGAATAATGCCACAATAAACATACGTGTGCATGTGTCTTTATAGCAGCATGATTTATAGTCCTTTGGGTATATACCCAGTAATGGGATGGCTGGGTCAAATGGTATTTCTAGTTCTAGATCCCTGAGGAATTGCCACACTGACTTCCACAATGGTTGAACTAGTTTACAGTCCCACCAACAGTGTAAAAGTGCTCCTATTTCTCCACATCCTCTCCAGCACCTGTTGTTTCCTGACTTTTTAATGACTGCCATTCTAACTGGTGTGAGATGGTATCTCATTGTGGTTTTGATTTGCATTTCTCTGATGGCCAGTGATGATGAGCATTTTTTCATGTGTATTTTGGCTGCATAAATGGCATTCATTTTAAAATATTGAAAAATGAATAAAAAGTGTAGAATATGACTCAGGAGTACTTAAAATGAAAGTTTAAAATTTTTAAACATGTTACAAAATTAGTAATTAAAAATTATTTCTAATAAAAATATTAATAATAAATATATACATACATACACCCATGTTGGTGTATATATTTATATATATATTTCTTCATGTGTGTACACAATCATTGACATGTTTGTGTGTGTAAAATACGCATGTCAAGGAAGATATACATACATCTTGATATACATAACATACACATAATCATACATAATTTATACACAATATGTACTTACATATATTCTTATATTCTCTATATTAATAGCTATAAACAACAGTCATTTGGAATAGATACTCTGCATAGATGGTTCTTCTCAACCTTACCATGACAACTTAATTCATTATGAAGTATATATATATATGTCTTGTGCAGACATTTATGATTCCAATGCTTGCTTCTGGCTATAGTCTGAGTAAGATATAATGTGCCTAACATAAATTAATCACATAAAGAATAAGAAAGGGGAAAGCAGCCAGTAACATTAAGGAGTTGGCTTGGCACTATCAGCTAGACTTGGAATTCTGCTGTTGAATATAAGCACTTTAAAAGGACATCAACGTAACACAGGACCACTGTGAGACAATTATGCATCAAGACAAAACCAAGACTACTTCATAATCATGTGTGAACACCAACTAAATGTAAGCCCTCCCAAGCCAAAAAAACAGAAAGATTGAATATGCCCTTATTGGGCTAGCATGAATGGCTGCTGCTTCTTAACTAATGACAGATTTAGGAATGTTCTGGTCTTCCCGTGCCCTAGATAAGACTTACTAAGATACACAATCATAGTATTATGCCTACTTCCTGACCATATCTAAACCAGAACAAAGGCACGCATCCTAAAACTTCCCCCAAATTCCCAAAACACAAGCCAAAATCTTATAAGTACTTTAACAACCTCCTAAAGAGATGCTCCATGGCTCCCCAAGGTGTGCATTCTCCCTCACTGCAGTGTGTAATAATCCTCACTTGTTCAATTGCAGGCGTGCTTGCAATGGTCTTTGGCAAGAAGGCATTGATAGCAGGAAATAAACACATCCCAACTGAGGTCAGCTCTCCCCAACTGGAGAGTTGTTTCCCAGTGTTGAACCAACAATGGCACTATGGCTTCCATATGTATACTTAGATAAAACAGAAAGTTTGAAACCTTCTTCATAGTTCCTGTAATATCCTAAAATTTAAGCCATTGTTTTATGGAATAGAAGAATATATTTCAAATGATCTATATGACAAAGAGCTAATATCCAAAATGTCAAAAGGACCTTCTACAACTCAACAGCCAAAAACAAAACAAAACAAATAACCTGATTAAACAATGGGCAAAGGACCTGAATAAACTTCTGTCCAAAGAAAACATACAAATGACCATCAGGTATAAGAAATAGTACTCAATATCATTAATCATCAGAAAAATGCAGGATCAAAACCACAGTGAAATATCACCTCACAGCTATTATAATGGGTTTTGTTAAAAAAAAAAAAAAAAACCCACACCCACAAACAAAAGCAAAAGGTGACAAGCACTGGCAAAGATGTGGAGAAGTTGGAATCTTTGTACACTATTGGTGGGAATGGAGAATGGTGCAGCCATTATGAAAACCAGTATGGAGGTTCCACAAAAAATTAAAAATAGAACTACCATATAATCCAGCAATGCAACTTCTGGCTACATATCCAAAAAAATTAAAGCCATGAAATTGAAGAGATATCTGCAGCCCCATGTTAATTCCAACATTATTCACAATATTCGTGGTTTGGAAGCAACCCAAATGTTCAATGACATGAATGCATAAAGAAAATGTGGCATATAAACATATTGGAACACTATTTAGCTTCAAAAAAGAAGGAAATCCTATTTGAGACGTGAATGAACCCACAGAACATTATGTTATGTTAAATGAGACAGTCACAGAAGGACAAACACTATATGATTCCACTTACTTATATGAGGAATCTAAAATAGCTAAAATAGGTGGGTGTGGTGGCTAACGCCTGTAATGCCAGCACTTTGGGAGGCCGAGTCTGGTGTATCACTTGAGTTCAGGAGTTCAAGACCAGCTTGGCCAACATGGGGAAACTCCATCTCTACTAAAAAAATACAAAATTATCCAGGTGTGGTGGCATGCACCTGTAATCCCAGCCACTCAGGAGGGTGAAGAACAAGAATTGCTTGAGCCCAGGAGGCAGAGGTTTCAGTGAGCCAAGATCACACCACTGCACTCCAGCCTGGGCAACAGAGCAAAACTCCATCTCAAACAAATAAATAAAATAAAACAGTGGAAATCATAAAAGCAGAGAATAGAATAGTGGTTGCCAGGGGTCTGGGTCGAGAGAAATAGGGAATTATTGCTCAATGAATACAAAGTTCCAGTAATGAAAGATGAATAAGTTCTAGAGATATGCTGTATAACATAGTACCTATAGTTAACGATACACCATTGTGCACTTGAAAATATGTTAAGAGAATCATTCTCATGTTCAGCATTCTTAGCACAAAACACAAAACAAAAGTATGCAAGGACATTTTTGGAGGTGATGGATATGTTTAGTACATCGACTGTGGTCATGATATCATGGGTGTATGCATATATTCAAACTCAGGAAAATGTCTACGTTAGATATGTGCAATTTTTATATCAATTATAACTCAATAAAGTTTTAAAAACATGAAAATAATACCCTATACAATAAAATATAGCTTCAAGAATTCCATATAAATAATACCAAAAGTGTAGACAACGAATGAATACTGCATGTCTCTCATAGTAAAACTATTTCATCAAGCCCTGCGTAGTTGCTATATGCTTCTTGACAAGTAGTAAGAAATTTGAAGTTTACAGTGATTATGCAATGACAATGTACAATAGTAGTAAATCTGGGGAAAAAACAGAATAGATGATAGATAGATAGATATAGATAGATAGATAGATAGATAGATAGATAGATAGATAGATAGATAGTTTTTTGTTTGTTTGTTTTTTGTTTTTAAGAGATGAAGTCTTGCTCTGTCATCCAGGCTGGAGTACAGTGACACAATCACAGCTGACTGCAGCCTCCAACCGCTGGGCTCAAGGGGTACTCCCACCTCAGCCTCCAGAACAGCTGGGACTACAGGCACACACCACCACACCCAGTTAAGTTATTTTTGTAGAGATGGGGTCTCACCAACTTGCCCAAGCCAGCCTCAAACTCCTAGGCTCAAGCGATCCTCCAACCTTGGGATCCCAAAGTGTTGGGATGGGATTGTGTTGGCAGAAAATAACTTATGCAAATAATTCTTCAACAGAAAGCAGCTTACTGTAGTGGAAATGGAGTTAAAAATTAAAGATTAGACTCTACATGCTAACACAGATTTGATGCCATTAATATTTTTTAATCCTCTGTCTTTTAAAAAGAATATATGTAATAAATAATCCTATTTCAGAAGGATAATGTGATAAATAAGATTTATATATGAAAATCCTTTCCAACTTCTCTAAAAGAAAGTATTCATTTTATTGTGATTCCCAAACATAATTTGACATATACTTTATTATAATTGTTCACTAGTAGAACATAGCCATGGTAGGTCCCAATATTGTGTGCCAAAATAGAATTAATAGATTAATCTTTTCCTTACTCATAATTTTAAAATCACTCTTTCAACCTGAAACATTTTCAGAGTTGACATATATTGTGCCCATTTTGACTGCATAGAAATATAAACCCCTATATTGTGACTTCCAGTTTGTAAAATAAAACATTTTAAATCTGTCAATTTCAGGTGTTTCAATCAAGAAAACATGCAAGACTGAATGCCTTCAGTTTAATCAGTTTTTAATCTAGCAGGCAGGTTAGTAATTTTCCAACTTCTTTTTCCAGTTAATATTTACTTATTGTAATATTTTTCATCATAATAGGGCAAATGTGATATTTTTATTTTTTCTTTGCTTTTTTAAAATTTCTTTGTACATTACGTGCTATTAAGACTGATGCTTGTGGGTCAAATTTTGCATGTCTAAATTTTACTTATGACAAATTTCTACATCATTTACTGGACAATAAAAAATTTGTTAATTTGTTGGCTGAACCATGGTCATGAATATTTTATATTGATTTCTTTTTCCCACCAGTTTGATTGCTGAGCATTTCTTGGAAATTGTGAACAAGTAGTATGTTAAGAAGAGATGAAGAGAAAAGACAGGGAAATAAGCAGCAGAAATGGGGGAACAAGAGGATCAAAACACGGTAGGAGACAAAATAGCACAGGCAAAATATTATGATTTGGCAATGAATACAAATTAGTATGATCTGACTTAATATAAGGGTAAATAAAAATTGCCATAAAGCTTTAAATATAGAATAAATATTCCTCATCATTTACCTTCCTCTCTGAAACTTCACTGTCATTTGACTTAATCTTCCGTGGAACTGTGACATGCAGAAATATTCCTTCAGAACCTGCAGTAAGAAAATGTGTTTGTTTTTGTCTTTGTTTTGCATCAACAATCGTCTCAGTCAAGCACGGGTTCTTATCCCGGACTGCATGGTGGCGCCTAAAATTTTAAGTAGAAGTTCTCTCATGTGCTCACACTCTTTCTAGTCCACAAATTTCACTACATAATCAACAGCACATTGAAAATGGCTAAGACACAAAAAAAGAAAAAAAAATTAGACATTGCAGTTCTACAGGCCCCTCTGGTTCCCTTTTAGAATCGATGAGAGACTTGCTTCCTCAGGACTCTGAGGAGTTCGCTGAAGGCAGTTAGTACTCCACCACCTCCACCCTCCTTCACAGAGTGGGAAGATGCCAGAAGACGCACTGCGTGTGGGCCACTGAGACCATGGGCGCTGATGCAGAGCGCTAACAGGTCCTCCGCTAAGGCCTTTAGTTCCCCCTGGCCTGGCGTGGAAAGGTGTCCCTGACACACCAGAAGCACCAGCATGGGATCCCAGAAGGGAGAGGGGGAGGGTCCCAGAATGACAAGAAACTGCTCCCAGTAAGAGCCCAGCCCAGCTATAAAGTCGAAGAAGAAAGGGGAGGCTCCCATGGACTTACCTTCGTGGGCTTGCAGTCTTCCAAGCTCAGTGAGGAGGGCGAGGAGAAGGAACATGGCTCAGCCAGAGCGCAGGAGCCACAGCCAAGGACAGAGACCGTTGAGCAGCGTTGAGCTCGCGGGCAGGCTCTCGGCCACCGGGCGCCTGGGCCAGGGAGGACCCTGTGCTGCCCCAGGACCCTGGGGGTGAGGTCTGAGGAGCTCTGAGAGCTGGGCCACTTCCGCAGGGCGGGGAGGGGAAATGCCAGATGCAAGCATAGGTGTTTGCACAAAATTTGTTGCAGAGACGTTTAAGTTGTTTAAAGCCCTCAGTAGTTACATTGGGGTAAATAAGCTAGATTTTCCTTTTTAGTGAGGTTTTCTTTAGTGAGGTTGGTAATTTTGTTTCTCCATATCACAGTTTTATGGCAGGTTTTATTTACTAAGGTGGAGGAGAAAGAGGAAAAGGGAAATAACAGCTATTATTATTAGCTATTATTACTAGCAATTTTCTACATGCTACTGCTGACTTAAATATCTTTGCAAATACGGAAAAATCAAGAAAATTGAACTTTTTAATGCTGGTACGATTTCACCGTTATTCATGATAACCAAGATATGGAATCAACCTAAGTGTCAATGAGGAATGAGTAAATAAAGAAAATGTGGTAAATATACACAGTGGAATAGTATACAGCCTTAACGAAGGAAATTCATTTGCAACAACAGGGATGGAACCAGAGAACGTTATGCTAAGGGAAATATGCCAGGCACAGAAAGACAAATACTGTATGATCTCATTTGAATGTGGAATCTAATAAAGTCTATCTTATAGAAGGATGATTACTAGAGGCCAGGGAAGGTGGGATGAGGGATGGGGAAAGGGAAAATGTTGATCTAAAGGTACAAAATATGAGTCAGACTGAAAGAATAAGTTTTAATGATCTCTTGCACTACATGGTGATCACAGTTAATAATAATGCATATTTCAAAATTGCTAAAATTTATTTTCAATGTTCTCACCACAAAGAAAAGATAAATTGATGAGGAGATGGGTATATTAACTAGCTTGACTGAAGCATTCTATAATGTATAGATAGATCAAAACATCACGCTGTACCCTATAAATACACAAAATTATTTGAAATAAATTTGCAGAAAAGAAAATGGAGTTGATCCCACTAAGACCATCAAAAAGCACATTTCTTCAACAGTGTATTTTTCTCATAAAACTATATTATAATCAGTGGAGGAAAGAGAAAGGAAAGCTTTAATATTTAGTGTTATTTTTGCAAATAAAGAGAATTCAAGAAAATGGAACTTTATCTTGAAAAGACAATCAGAAAGCACTTTACTTCAACTGTGTACCTTGCTTACTACACAAGATTATAATATAGTGTTCTAAGGGAAAAGAAAACCTTTACAATGCAATCTGACTGTTTTGTTAACAGTGACTCTAAGCTCTAAGTAAGAAACTGTGGAGACAGGAAGGGCAGCAAGGCAAGGGGAGAGAGAAAAATTGAGACCACTGTAGAAGACTATGCAACTGCCTCCCTTAACTTTTTGACAAATATCTTAAATGGCACATGTCCAAAACCCAACCCATCTATCACACTCAAGCCTTTTACTCCAGTACCCCCTATTTCAGGGATGAATTGTGTCAAAATATGTGTGCAAAAATTGTGTGCAAAATTGTGTGCAAAAATAAAACTGATCAGGGCCGGGAGTGGTGGCTCATGCCTGTAATCCCAGCACTTTGGGAGACCAAGATGGGTGGATCACCTGAGGTCAGGAGTTCGAGACCAGCCTGGCCAACATGGTGAAACTCCATCTCTACTAAAAATATAAAATTACCCTGGTGTGGTGGTGGGCGCCTGTAATCCCAGGTACTTGGAAGGCTGAGGCAGGAGAATTGCTTGAACCCCAAAGGCAGAGGTTGCAGTGAGCCAAGATCGTGCCATTGCACTCCAGCGTGGGCAACAAGAGCAAAACTCCATCTCAAAAAATAAAAAACAAATAAAATAAATAAGACTGATCAGGACTAAAACTTGGATCTGCTAAGTGCTGGTACGCCTGAACAGATAGCTCAAAAATTATTATTGACAAGAAGCAGGCCATTGAGCACAATGACCCAAAATAAGTTAGTGGCAATGAAGATGAGAGAAATCTGGTAGAATTATCCCAGGTTATATTTTCTGGTAAATTTATCCCAGGTTGTATTTTTAAACAGCTTTATTGAGATATAATTCATATGCCATGCAATTTACCCATTTAAAGCATACAATTAAGTGATTTTTAATATGTTCTCAGATATGTGTGAACATCACTATAGTCAATTTGAAATTAGTTTCATCACATCATGAAGAAACTCTGTGCCCATTAGCCATAAAGTATCCTCCCACCCCCAAAACAAGTTCTTTATCCCACCCCTCTACTCCCTAAACAACCACTAAACTAATTTCTATCTTAAGAGATGTCTCTATTCTGGACTTTTCATACAAATGAATATGTTATAGGAGGCAGAAAGAAATTATTTAGGTAGACAGGGTAAAGTGAGTCCCTGGCAGAAATCTTTCCTTTTAACAAAAAGCAGCTCAAAAATACCTCCCTTTCTAACCTCAGGCAGTTCAAAGAAATCACTTCTCTTCTAACAACAAGCAGGCTGAAAGTTCAGGCTGTAAATCACACATCAACAGCTTGGACACAGAAAGAAGGGGAAGGTCTCCTGGGTAATCACCAGACTTCACACTTACACAATGGGCCCCAGTAAAACAGAGGGCTTTAATAAGCACATTCCTTTCCCTTTAGGCACACTGAGATAGGGAAGCCAAAAGCAGACTTGTGGGGGCAGGGGGATGCCTGCGGATGCAGGAAGATGTCTGGGAACAGACACAGAAACTCTCCCTCCCAGATAAGCAGAACAAAGTTACACAGACTGAGATTCTGCCTATGTGGGCAGGGAATGGGATGAGAACTGACAAAAACTCTGCACCATACAGATAACACACCTGTTCTCAATCAAACCATCTGGCCCTAGGAGGATAAGACATCCCCTCCTCACGAGCCCCGTCCTCACTAGCCCATTTATAAAAACCCTGACAACTTGGCAACCCGCTTGGGACCCCTCTCTGAGACAGAGAGCTGTTCTTCCCTTTTGTCTATTAAACTCCTGCTCCAAATTCCCTCTGTGTGTGTGTGTGTGTGTGTGTGTGTGTGTGTGTCTGTGTGTTTGTCTGTGTGTGTGTGTCCACGACCTCCATCTCCTTGGCCATGAGACCGAGAACCTTGGTACTTACCCCAGACAATGAGGCTTCTTCAAATACACATGTAAATATCTGATGTTTGTGACTGGCTTTATTCACTTAGCATAATGGTTTCAAGGACCAATCATGTTGTACCAGTGTCAGTGCTTCATTCCTTTTTAGGGCTGAATAATATTCCATTGTTTGGATATACCACATTTTGTTTACCCATTTTTCAGTTGATGGATATTTGGAATAGGAAACTCTGGACCTCTGTGGTGAGGTTCCTCCACCCCTGTCTAAGGAGCATCTTGGTTTGTGATGAAGACTCTGTAGGTCCTAATTGGACTCCAGGTGGGCTGATGGATCCCTAACCCATGTGTAATGCTCTGCGATATGTAGAAGTGCCCCCATCTTAGCAAGAGACGGATGGGAGGGGAGACCGAGGCAAGAAAATCTTACCCAGAAATGCCCAACTTCAGGGAAGATAGAGCAGCAAGTTTGAGTTTTCTCAAAGGACAGAGAAATCTTCCAGATCAGTTTATACAGGGCCAACGAAGCATACGTACCTGATGGTACTATGACCTCAAACTCAGTTTGAGCAATTTCTTTAAAGTAGAAGGGATACTAGTGACTATCTGGGGGCTATGAGAGTGAATATCTATCAATTCTTCCAGTCGGTATCCTAATGCCTGGAACAGAGAGGGCAGGGGAATCATGAACTATTGGAGGTGTGGCTATTGGTGTCCTCTCTTGAGACGGGAGCAGTTGTGGGCATCTGAAGAATCTGAAAGTTTTCAGTTTAGGATGTAACAGGTGTCAGGCCTCTGAGCCCAAACCTGGACGTATACATCCAGATGGCCTGAGGCAACTGAAGAACCACAGAAGAAGTGAAAATGGCTGGTTCCTGCCTTAACTGATGACATTCCACCATTGTGATTTGTTCCTGCCCCACCCTAACTGATCAATTGACCTTGTGAAATTCTTTCTCTTGGACAATGAATATCAGAAGCTCCCCACCGAGCACCTTGTAGCCTCTGCCCTTGCCTGCAAGAGAAAAACCCCCTTTGACTGTTATTTTCCACTACCTACCCAAATCCTATAAAACTGCCCCACCCCATCTCCCTTTGCTGACGCCTTTTTCAGACTCAGCCTGCCTGCACCCAGGTGATTAAAAAGCTTTATTGCTCACACAAAGCCTGCTTGGTGGTGTCTTCACACGGATGCGCGTGACAACAGGTTTCTGGGTGAAAAAGAGCAAAAGTGGTTTTTTCCTACTTAAAGATTCATGGCAGGTAGAATAATAAATAGACACACGCTTGCATACTTCCTGTCATATAATTTATTTTGTTTGTGCAATTGAAAGCTTTAAGCCATAATGAAAGGAGAAAAAAGGCGATTTTTGTTTTCATTGTTGAATCAAGCCAGTTAATGGTAAGTTTCTTGGTAATATCCTTTCTCTATCTTATGGCTTTTGATGTTATCATGTAGTTACTGTTGTAAAAGAAATATAGAAAAATAGAAATGTTAAATTTTCGTTGTTAATAAAAGTTGTCTACTTTTATAATGCAACTACAGGTATAGCAATTAATTACTCAAATAAGACACTGCTTGCTATACTGTTGTATTAATAATTTGTGCCTGGTATTCAGGACATTCATAAAGCAAAGTTCCTTATTCATGAATAATTTGTGATAGCCACATTAAAAGTAAATGTTATAAATTGGTAGTCACACAGGTTTCATTAACATGGTCTCTAAATTTACATCAATAAATGGAAATCACCAACGAGAAAACAGAGGGGGAAAGAGCAATGCAAACCTGTGAAGAAATACAAAAGAGTTCCTATTAATTTCTCTATTATATATGTATCTGCAGAGGGAGAGAATTTTCCAAAGCCCTCAGTGTATTTCCAACAGGTTTCCACATATACACGTTCAAAACCATAATCATCATTCACTCCCCTCCACTTCCTCACCCCAACCTAAGACAGTTCTTTCCCTACTATACAGTATGTCATTGGTTATTGGGGGAACCCGCCCCCAATATTTCAACGTAGGTTCTTTCTATTTTCCATAAGTGTTGGCTGGCTGAGAAATAAAGAGAAAGAGTACAAAGAGGGGAATTTTACACCTGGGCCTCCAGGGGTGACATCACATATCGGTAGGACCATGATGCCCGCCTGAGTCTCAGACCAGCAAGTTTTTACTAAGGGTTTCAAAAGAGGAGGGGGTGTAAAACAGGGAGTAGGTACAAAGATCACATGATTCAAAGGGCAAAAAGCAGAACAAAGATCACATGCTTCTGAGGGAACAGGACAAAAGGCAAAACAGAACTACTGATAAGAGTCTATGTTCAGCTGTGCACGTATTGTCTTGATAAACGTCTTAAACAACAGAAAACAGGGTTCGAGAGCAGAGAACTGGTCTGACCACAAATTTACCAGGGCGGAGTTTTTCCCCACCCTAATAAGCCTGAGGGTACTGCAGGAGACCAGGGCGTATCTCAGTCCTTATCTCAACCACATAAGACAGACACTCCCAGAGCGGCCCTTTATAGACTGCAGCCCCCCTCCCCCCACCAGGACTGCATTCCTTTCCCAGGGTATTAATATTAACATTCCTTGCTAGGAAAAGAATTTAGTCATATCTCTCCTACTTACAAGTCCATTTATAGGCTCTCTGCAGGATAAAAAATATGGCTCTTTTTGCCAGACCCTGCAGGCAGTCAGACCTTACGGTTGTCTTCCCTTGTTCCCTAAAAATCACTGTTATTCTGTTCTTTTTCAAGGTGCACTGATTTCATATTGTTCAAACACACATGTTTTACAATCAATTTTTACAATTAACACAATTATCACAGTGGTCCTGAGGTGACACACATTCTCGGCTTATGAAGATAACAGGATTAAGAAATTAAAGTAAAGACAGGCATAAGAAATTATAAAGTATTATTTGGGAACTGATAAATGTCCATGAAATCTTCACCATTTATGTTCCTCTGCCATGGCTCCAGCCAGTCCCTCCATTCAGGGTCCCTGACTTCCTGCAACAATTGGTAAAAGGTGTCACTATCCATTCTGCCAGAAAAGTAGAGGTCTTTGTAGTTCTCTCTTTTATTCTAATCCAAATATATCCATTCAGTAACCAATCCAACAGATTCTGCCTCTGTCATATTCCTGAAAATATTTTTGTGCTTTTCCTCCTCTCTAATCCTGCCCTCATCACACCTTTCCTGTGCACTCAGTAGTCTCTTAGCTGCTTCACCAGTCTGCAGTTCTGACAGAATCCATTCTGCCTACTTTATCCCAATGAAATAGGTAAATGCAAAACATGTCATGCCAGATCTCTCTTACAACCTCAAAAATACTTTATGTTCTTGCTCATATAGAAAAACATTTAAAATCCTTATTGTGGCATACCAGTTACTTGTCTTGGCTCACTGTTACCTATTTTTTTTATATCTCAGTATTCATAGACTTGCAAATGACTTTTAAAAAGTATGAAGAGCCCACATTCTAGAAACAGGCCTAGTTTTACATTTTAGCCTTGCTGTTTTCCTGCTTTACATCAATAGACATATTATTTAAGCACTTTTTCTTACATTCTGCATCCAAACAGTCAATGCATTCTGCTGAGTCACCTTCAAATTTTATCCATAAGATTATCCTTACCACTCCTGGTTTGAAGTACTATCTTTTCTCTCATGTATTATTGCAGTATTTTCTCTACTTCTACTCTTGTGATCATACAGACAGTTTTCAACAAGTCGGCCTTTTAAAGAGTAAGGCCGTGTGGCTGGAATCTGAACTATTCAGTAATTCCTTCCTTTCACTCAAAGTAAAACAGAGACAGACTCCAAAAGCTCCAAGACCCTCCATGGTGTTACTTCTCTGATCTAACCACAACTATAGCCCTCTTAGTAACTCTGCTCCAGGTGGACTGACATCTTTGGTATTCTTCAAACATTCCCAACTTATTTTGTATCATATCATTCATGTGCTTGGAAATATACTGCCTAGATATATGCATGAGTAATTCTGCCAATTCCATGCCTCTGTAGGATAGATTTGATTTACAGCTAGAATGGAAAAACTCAATCTTTATCTCTAGGAAAGCCTGGGTATCTGGTTTTGACTTTTTGTTGAGAAAAAGGCATTGGGATTGTTAATGGGCTGTTTAAAATCTACATTAAGGAACCTTGGAGCCCCTTGTCTTTCTGACCCCCAATGCTTGCCTGCACTCTCTCTTGCTACACTGTACCCTTTGCGTTTAAATAAAAGCTTTTTGTGAGTTCATCCTTTGAACTCAGGTAACTCCTTTCAATGATTAAAACTGAGTAATTATTTCACCTCCTTCAGATTATTTGCTTACAAATCACTTGTGCTATAGGACTTATTGAGAGAAAAAATATGTAAAATTGTTATCCAATACTTTCCTCAACAGCAACTCCCCCACTCATCCTTACTGCTATAATCTTTTGTATATGATTAATAATGTTTCAATTTACTATATCATCAACTTATATGTCTATTATTTATGGACTGATAGCCTAACCCTCTATCTCAAATTATTGAGGCAAGACTTCAATGCAACCAGAAGGTACTGTTGGCAGAAGGAAGCTGTGAAAAGAGGAAAAAAGGAAAGCAAGATGTTGCATTTATGACTTATGAGTTGGAAGAAATCAGGGAAATGGTAAGCTCTAGGAGAAAATGGCTGTGGTTGGCCGATGGTGGTGGTAGGGAGTTCAGGTGAAGACACGCAGCAGGATGGTGAGATTCTGATTGAAGGACATGAGAAGAAGGCAGTAGCCAAGTGCCAGAATCCTCAGGTAAGACATGGGCTTCTAATAAAGTTTTTAAGGAGGATGTAGAGATTGGTCTAGGCATGAATAAAATTTTCACACTGAGGTTACTAGTTATAAAGGTTTTATTTGGTGGCAGATAAGGAAATAGAGACCCATGGACATAATTATTACTCAAAGTCTGATATGAAGGAATGGGAGATAAACAATTGGATGAAATCTTGATCTTGCTCTAGATTGAATTTTTGAACTTTTCAATTTACTGCCAGTGATAGGCCTAACATCAAACTTTATTATTTTTCTACACATATGAATTTGAATAGTACATACATATGCCTATTTCAAGCCATTTCATAGTAAATAATTAATTGTCTTTCTGCCTCAGAGGGAGAGTATACTTAGCATTTTGCTAAGCATCAACTAGGTCCTCAATCCATGTTTATTCTATTCCTTATCCCTAGCCACATATCAGGCTATATGTTTTAAGATTGTAAGCTTCTACTCTAGAGTTTGATTGCTTTAAGTTAAACGCCAATGCAAAACTCACTAAAACTCTATACATATGAAGAATTATTTAAATTCTTTACATCCATATTCTTATTTCTAAAATAAGGATAATAATACCAATGTAGTGTTATTAAGGAAAAAATGTAAATATAGGGAAACAATCTGTGTAAATCAATTAGATCTACCAATTTCTAAACACATTAGAATCTTAAATGAAGGAGCAGGAAATATGATTATTCATAAATATTCTAAGAATGTATGTAAAATAATTTGGAAGTCACTTCTTATTACAAAAATATTTTTTATAAATATCTGGCTAATATCAGTTACATTAAAATATTTCCAAATAAGCATAAAATAATAATAACATAAAATACTTTAGTCTTTGCTTAGCATATGATATTAAAATGTAGAAGTTCGGATGATAAAATATGGGAATAATAGCTTTCTCATACTAAGGTGTTGTTAAAAATTTTTAAATATGTATGTATTATGAATTATATCACTTACCTCTATGACTGGTTGCTGTCACTACTGCTGTTACTGTTGCTGCTACTACTGCTGTCTTCTGATGTAGAACCGTATAAAAGAGATTAACATTGGTTTTAGGGTTAATAGCCATTGTAAAATCAAGAAGCAAAATCTTAAGCAAAATCAAGAAGAGTAAAAAAGCTACATTTGTGATAGTTAATTAGTAGGTACCAATATCCACTTTGCTTTCCATATACCTCTCAGACAGCATATATTTTTGTGTTTGGCCTTTATCTAATGTTGGTCTAACTTTTAAAGGTTTTAAGACTTTTTTAAAAAATTTCAAACTAAAAATCTATTATTTTTTTCTATCCTGTCTACATGGAAGATGGAATGAGATACTAATATATCTATGATAATGCCTCTCCACAGTTAAAAAGATATATAAGTGCACATCTTCAAATTCTTACATTACCATTTACACAGTTACAGTATTTCTACTAATAACTATGTAAATAACTATTTGGACTATAATTTCTCTTTCATTAATGAGGCCCTTAATGAGGCCTCTGTGTCTTTCAGATACATTTAGTTTCATTTTGTGGTATTTATAAAGCCTCCGTTTTTTTCTTAAGATAAGTTTTGAACAACTAACTCAGAATTATAAATCCAGATAGAATACAGGATGAATTTAGGTGCCCTTGCACTGCTATTTTCTTCTGTCTCCAGAGAATATTAACTAAAAGACATTGACTAAGATTATTGTTATTTTGTTTGGAAGTGAATATAGAAAGGGTTGAGATAGAGGTATTGGGCCAAGTCAAAGCCAGAGCAGTCAATATAAAGAGAATAGACAGGGACAAGAAGGGGTAATGTCAATCAGTAATGGATGAAATGACTTAGTTCCTGGCCATCCAGTTCATTACTGTCTTTTGTGCTTCAACTCTAGTTAGTTTCTTACCCTTGCAGCCTTGAAACCACTTATGGTTGTAAAAGAGGCTGCTTGAACAGATTTTGTCATTTGTAACCATTAATCTCTTATTACAACATTTTTTCCATTACTCATATTTACTTATAGTAAATATTCACATATTTCCAAGATGTCTTAAGAGCAAAAGAAGACTTATGCTAGCTATCATTCAATTAAGTTAATTTATAACAATGTGATAATTATGTGTCTTCCAAAAAATCCAGAATATTACTCTGAAATTATTAGGTTGGTGCAAAAGTAATTACGGTTTTTGCAATTACTTTAAACTGCTAGCTACTGCTAACTTGTTGATACATAAAATTATCTAGCTTGCAAACAGAGGTGTTAGTAGAAATTCTATATCATTATTTAATCTTCATCTTCAACTGTGAGAAACAGAAATCCACTTATTATCCTTATTATCCGTATTCTTCTGTCCCTAAATATTTACTGAGTATGCAATGATGTTACAGCAAAGAAAATAACTGCAAAAACCTTTGTAATAATTTTAGAAACCATTGAAGAATATTAATTGTGCACAAAGTGCAGTTTCCTATCTACTTTCTCTCCCTCGTTTCCTGTTTTATTTTCTTACCTTCTACATATTCTATTCACAAAAGTTGCTTCCCCAACTGTCTCTATTGATATCCTTGATACAAATGACTGTCAATGCATGAAAAGTGGGGTTGTCTGGGAAATCCAAAGAACATCCTCAAACAATTTCAGCCAATATGGCTTTTATTTATTTATTTATTTTGGAGACGGAGTCTCACTCTGGAGTGCAGTGGCATGATCTCGGCTCACTGCAACCTCTGCCTGTGGTTCAAGCAATTCTCCTGCCTCAGCCTCCCAAGTAGCCGGGACTACAGGCATGTGCCACCACGCCCTTCTCATTTTTTGTATTTTTAAGACACAGGGTTTCATCATGCTGGCCACGCTGGTCTCAAACTCCTGACCTCGTGATCCACCCTCCTCGGTCTCCCAAAGTGCCGGCATTACAGGCATGAGCCACCATGCCCCGCCCCAATATGGGCTTTCTATTTGAAAGGCAATGAGGATTTAATGAGCAGCTTCAGTTGTTCCTTGCCCTGTAAGAATATGTAGAACACCTAACTGCCCAAAATCTGAAAAGAAACTTTGGTGTATAGTAAGACCTTCTTATTCAATATCTCATTCAGTTTTTCTAAACATTAACCCAATCCTTCTCAAAATTCCTATTTGTAATATTTAAATTTATACTCAAATTCTTCCCATAGTCCTTTTGTAAAATTAAATATACAAAATAACAAGTTTACTTACCTTCCACTTACACTTTTTGCTCAGTGTCAAAATCCCTTCATTTTGTTCCATTTAAGACCAATGATGGCAGTTAAAATGAGGAAAGGTAGAAAAATGTAGCAACTGATTAAAGGCCATTTTTCTGAGGAACAGCATGTCATTTCACAAACAAGGGTGTACTTTTTCCTGAAAACATGAGAGTGACTTTTACAAATATGATATTTAAAGCATACTGCTGATTTGAATTTTAAAATTTGAAATTCAAATACAGTTATAGAATAAATACATAAATTTGAATTTAAAAGTGTTTTCTAATCTTCTATAACTGTGCCCCAAAGTGCATTATATATTTATGTCAACTCAGTACACTTACACATATCTTTGGCAATATACAGCCATTGGCAATATACAATATTATTGACAAATTTAGTTTTAAACTTTTAGCTATATTTAATCTTTATTTACATGATATATTCTAATCTATCATATTCTAACATATTCCCTTCTGTGAACGGCTACATGTAACACATTAACTTAATATTATCTAATAAGGTGTTCTTCAGATTAAAAATGGAGCAAAAAAACTGTTTCAAAATAATTTTATAAAAAATTATTGACATATCTGAGGGTGAATCCTAAAAATTAATAAATGATAGTACTTAAATTGAAATAATGAATAAATAGAAATACACATGTTCATGTCTTCATGAATTAGAATTAATATTGCTTAAATGTCCATACTACCCAAAGTGATCTACAGATTCAATGAAATTTTTATAAAAATATCAATGCTATATTTCATATAAATAAAAATTTATAAAATTCATATGGAACCACAATATAAACATATATAGAAAAAGTAGAATGGTGGTTACCAGAGGCTAGGGGCGTAGCAAAAATGAGATGTTGGTCAAAGGATGCAAAGTTTTAGTTAGATAGGAGGATTAAATGATAAGTATTCAATAGGACTGATATGCTAATTAACTCGATTCAATCATTCCACATTGTATGTATACATATAACATATCATAACATGTCATGACATGTCATAACATCACTTCTTACCTCATAAGTATATACAATTATAAGTTGTTGGTTAAAATTACAAATATTTAAAAGTAAATTTTAAAGTAGAACTATATAAGCTGTTTCAAAAATAATTTTATGAAAAATTATTGACACACTTGGGAACTAATTTTAAAGTAAGTTAATGGCAAAATTTCTATGGAAAATTTCCACATTATTTGTATAATGTGACATTATTCTACTTTTGACTGTATTAATTAGAAAAATAGATATTCCTCTAACATAAAAATGAATAAGTATCAAGAGAATTAGAGAGGAAAAAAAATCTATGCAAAAATATCTATATAGTTAAATGAAAAAAATAAACCAGACAACTAAAATATCAATGTAATGAATTAAGCAATCAGTATTGCCACCAAAATATTATGACATTAAATGTAAATAAATTTAGTAACCATCAAAAAAGACAAGGAAACAGTAACTTTAAAACACATTTGCATGCATGCACACACACATACAGGCAGACAATCCAATGATATCTTGATTCAAAGTGATTTGTCTAAAGAAAAGTGATTCAGAATGTTTTATATAAGAAATGAATTGCAATGCAAAACTGTTGAAATTAAGCAAACATGCAGCAACCTTAAACTATGGTAGAGCTCAATGCTTTTAAGATTCTTCACTGCCTCATGTATGAGAAAAGTTTATTTCCATGCTATTTTGGCTATTGGAAATAATGCTGCTATGAAAATGGATGCAAAAATATCTGTCTGTGTCTCTGCTTTCAATACTTTTGGGTTTATATGTATATGCAAATTGCTGGCTAATATGGTAATTCTGTGCTTCTTTTTTTGAGGAACCACTAGAATATTTTCCACAAAGCCTGGATCACTTTACATACCATCAGTTATGTGCAAGGCTTTCCATTTTTCCACACTCTTGTCAACACAATTTTTTAAAATTTTTTTATACTAGCCATTTTAGTAGGTTAAAATTGTTATCTCATTATAGTTTTGACCTGCGTTTTTCTAAAGGTTAGTGATGGTAAATATATTTTCATGTACTCATTAGCCATCTATATATCTTCTTTCATGTACTCATTAGTCATCTATATATCTTCTTTCATGTACTCATTAGTGTTCTATATATCTTCTTTGAAGAAATGTCTGTATTCAAGTCCTTGGCCCATTTTTAACGGGTTTTATTGTTTTGAGCTGTAGGAATTTTTGACATATTCTGGATATTTATCAGATATATAATTTTCAAATATTTTCTCCCATTTCATATATTTCTTTTTTACTCAGTTGAATGTGTTCTTTAATGCACAATTCTTAATTATTAAACTCCAATTTATCTATTTTTTATTTTGTTTTCTATGGTTTTGATGTCATATACAAGAAATTATTTTCAAATCCAATGTCATGAAGATTTCCCCCTGTATTTTCTTCTGATATTTTTATAGTTTTAAAACTCACGTTTAGATCTTGAATCCATTGTGAGTTATTTTTTTGTGTATAGTACAAGCATGGGTACAATGTCATCCTTTTGCATGTGATTATCCAGTTTTCCCAACACAATTTTTTAAAAAGATTGTCCTTTCTCTATCAAATGGTCTTGTTGGTGTTGTTGAAAATTATTATACCATATACGAGAAAGGATTTATTCCTGGGATCCTTTTTTATTTCTTTGTAAATCTTTCATTTTCTTAATTTGTTTTCCAAAGTAATGTGTCAGTTTTCAAGAAGGTACAGAAGAGTCTTGAAGACAAATTGTCTATTTATTTTAGCTATTATTGAACACAAGTGAGAATTCAGATTTTTCTGTACTGCCCATAATAATTTTTAAAAATCAGTACAAGAAGACATTACACAATATGAATCAGACAAATCCAAAGAAACATAAAGCAAGACTCTAATCTGTAATGATAATTATCTTAGTCTGTTTAGGCTGCTATTACAAAAATATCACGGACTTGGTGGCTTATAAGCAACAGAATTGTGCTTCTCACAGTTCTGGAGCTAGGAAGTCCAAGATCAAGGTGCTAGGGACATTGTGTGGTCAGGGCCTGCTTCCTCATTCATAGATAGCCATCTTCTTGCTATAACCTCACTTGTGGAAAGGGTGAAGAATTTCACTGGGATCTCTTTTACAAGTGCACTAATCTCATCTCATTCATATTGAAATACAATAAAAATGTAGACTAAAAAGTTGATTTTCTATGTTTAAATTTCAATTTAAGATTTTATAAAGCTGGTTTTTGCTACTTTTATTCCTACTTCTCTAAATAATCTGTGATATGACTTTTAAAGGACACAAAATAAAGATTTAATGGGCCCCAGGTTAAAGATGACCTCTGAGGGTTATTTTCAGATAAAGTAGACTTCAAGACAAATATGAAGAAATACATTACAGAGGTAATAAAAGAAGCTATTCCACACGAAAACATTAAAATCCAATGAATGCAGCAATTAATGAAGATTCAAGATGGAATGAAAAATACAGTGAAATAACAAATACAGAAATAAATCCACAATCATGATTGGAGCTTTTAAAAACTTCTGTCTCAGTATTTGATAGAAGTAGAAAAGAATTATTTAGACCAATTATTCAGAAAGTACAAACTACTCAACTCAGCTAATATGAAATGGATGCTATGAATGGCTACATATGTATTAAGAAAATAAAGATGTGTTCTTAAAAATGCAAAGAGAGTGGATTTAAAATGTTCTCATGACCAAAATGATCAATATATGAGATGTTGTACATGATAAATATATGCAATTTTGTCTTTAAATTTAAAAATAATTGTTTTAAAAATTCAAAAACTCCCTGAAAAGAAATCTACTGGCCCATGAGAATTAACTGGAAAATGTTCTTTAAAAAGCAATACTGTCGATTTTAAGTAATATTGAATATAGAAGTAAATACTTCACATCTCATTTTGTGAGGCTAGTATTACTGATACCTAAACAAAATAAAGACAGTACAATGAAGAAAGAATGACAGATATAAACCATTATCTTAAAAAAAATACAAATATCCTCAACAAAGTATTAACAAGTCAAATTTAGTAATGTGCAATAAATAATAGATAATCAAAATAAATAATAAAAGCAATAATAAGAATATTATCTTTATAAAAATATAACTAACGATAAAATAATAGATTATAGACAAGAAGAATTTATTTTAGATAGTCAAGATTAGTTCAGTATCCAAAATTCATGTAATCCATTATGTCAACAGACAAAAAGGTAAAATCATATGATCCTAGCCATTGAAACTAAATACATTCATAAAACCCAATGCTATATATTAAAAAACTATCTCAGAAACTAGGTATTGAGAGAAATTTCCTCAAACTCATAAGGATTATCTCCAAACAAAACAAAGCAAAATCCCTACAGCTAGCATCAGACTTGATAGTAAAAGCCTGAATTATTCTCCTCCTAAAATCATTATTAAAGCTAGAATCTTTACTCTCACTTCAATTCTAGCCAATATAATAAGAAATAAAAGGGATTTATACTGAAAAAAACTATCTGTTTTTAAAAATAACATGATAGTCTACATAGAAATCTGAAGGTACTTAGAAAAAAACCTCAGAACTAAAAATGAATTCTATTATGTTGCAGAATCCAAGATCAACACCCAAAAATTAATTGCGTATCTGTATACTTACAGTGAACAAGTGAAAATTTAAAAAAAAAATCATTTATAATTGCTCTAAAGAAAATGAAGTACTCAATAATGAAACAACAAAACATGTATTTTTGAAAGTTACAATATTCTGATGAAAGAAATCTAAGAAGACCTATATAAATGGAGTGACATGGTTTGGCTCTGTGTCCCCAACCAAATCTTATCTCTAATTGTAATTCCCATGTGTGGAGGGAGGGACCTGGTAGGGTGATTGGATCATGGGGGTGGTTTCCCTCATGCTGTTCTCATGGTGGAGTTCTCATGAGATCTGGTTGCTTCATGAGTGTGTGGCTGTTTCCCCTTATCTCAATCTCTCTCTCTCTCTCTCTCTCTCTCTCTCTCTCTCTTCTCTCTCCTGCTGTCTTGAGAAGAAGGTGCCTGCTTCCCCATCATATCCATCATGATTGTAAGTTTTCTGAGGCCTCCCAAGCCATGTGAAACTGTGAGTCAACTAATTCTCTTTTGTTGGTAAATTACCCAGTCTCAGGTAGTATCTTTATAGCAGTGTGATAACAGACTAATGCAGGGAGATACATATGTCCATAAACCGGAAGATTCAATAATAGAAGAGAGGCAAATTCTTCCAAAAATGGTCTATAGGTTTAATACAATTTGTATCGAAATCACAGCAAGATATTTTATAAACATAGATAAGCTTATTCTGCTCATTCTAAAATACATATGAAAGGAGAAATTCTAAAATAGGCACAATGACTTTGAAGAACAAGTATTATTTTACAATGTTAAAAATTATGACATAGCTATAATAAGCAGTGTGGTACTGGTGGAGAAAATGACGCAAAGATCAAAAGATAAGAAGAGAGGATTAAGAAATACACCAACAGAAATCTATCCAATGTTTGGGACATAGGTGAGAGAAGAAATTCAATGGATGAGTAATAGCTTTTTCAAAAAATGCTGCTGGAAAACTTGGACATCCATAAATAAAAAAATTAGTGTTGTCTTAGTATCTCCCATCTTTCATAAAAATAACTCAAAATATATAATGAACCTAAATGAAAAATAAAGAACTATATTTTTTAGAAATATCATTGCAAAAAATCTTTAGAACTTAGGACAGGTAGAGAGTTCAATATAGCATGATCCTAAACTGGAAAAAAAAATGCCCTATCAAAATAAAACTTAAAAAATAATTAATCTGAAAAAATTAATTACAGACTTGAAGAAAATACGTGTGAAGCAACGTATTCTCAAAAAAATACTTGTATCTAGAAAATGTAAAATTTCTCAAAATGCAATATTAAAAAAACACAAACAATCCAATTTTACAAATGGGCAAAATATATGAATAGACTTTTCCCTGAAGAGAATATACAGATACCAAATAAACACAGTAAACATGTTTAACATCACTACATACTGAAGGAAGCACAATTAAAACGACAATAGATATTAATATACTCCTATTAGAATGGCTTAAAAAATAATGATACCATCTAATGTTAGTGAGAATGCCAAAAAATTGGGTCATTCATATATTATTGGTGGGAATGTCAAATGACACAGCCATTCTGGAAAATGGTTTGGCAGGTCCTTTGAAGTTTAAATAAATAGAAATGCTCTTGGGACCTCAGTTAATAATTAAGCTGAGGAAAGGATTCTTCAAATGTTGACTTCTGGATGAAAATTAAGAGTACAGAAAAGTTTGGTTGACAGTACAATCTAGAGCTGCACTATCCAATATACCAGCCACTAGCCACAAATGGTTATATAAATTTAAATTAAAGTAAAATACAGTTGAAATTTCAGTTCCTTGGTTGTACCATCCACGTCAGGTGCTCAATAGCCACATAGGACAGCAGAGATGTAGACCATTTCTTTGAGAGCAGAAACCTCTATTGGAACATAGATCTAGAGACTAACCTAAAATCCAAAACCCATCATCAATACTTCCTCCTGGTGATGAACTATCTTGCCTACAAGTTTGAGGAGAATATGCAACATCACGTTGACAATTATTCAGAGTATTGCAAACCTAAAACCAAAAGCAAATAAAATAAGAGCATTATATATATACAACATAAAAATTAAATTATTTGTGACAGTTAATGTAAATTATAATATAATTTTATAATATATAAAATATAATATATAATTAATTGTATACAATATAAATTATTTATAAGTATTTTATAATTTATATTTATAATACAATTTGATTTATTATAATAATATAGTATATTTTATTATAAGTTTTTATTTTCATGTGAAAAAATATTAATATGATAAATATTCATGCAATACCTAAGTATCATAAAGGTTTCCTCTTGTCTCTTATATTTTTTTCCCCTTGCTCTCTTGCCCAGGCTGGAGTACAGTGGCATAATCTTGGCTCACTACAACCTCCATCTCCTGGGTTCAAGCGATTCTCATGCCTCAGCCTCCCGAGTAGCTGGGATTACAGGCAGCACCACCTTGCCTGGCTAATTTTTGTCTTTTTAGTAGAGATGGGGTTTCATCATGTTGGCCAGGTTGGTCTCGAACTCTTGACCTCAGGTGATTCACCTGCCTCGGCCTCCCAAAGTGCTGGGATTACAGAAGTGAGCCACCACAAAATGCAAGGGCTTGTCTCTTGCATTTTTAAATAAAACTAGATAACATTCTTGATACGATTGAAATGCCTTATGCTAGAAAGGCATAGAAATTATGAAGCTAGAAACTATGTTGTGATTGAAGTAAAAATGTATTCTGAATTGTGATAGGTTTAAGTAAAATAGCTGCAATCAGAGCCAACTTTTATGAAAACAAACAAGCAAACAAAAACAAAGGGCAAGTGTGCTTTCGGATACAGATATCAACATTTATATGTAAAACTAAAAAATATTTCAAATGTGATGTAGTGGATGAATAAGAAAATGATCACCTCCCTAGTTAGCTGTATCCCTAGGTATTTTATTCTTTTTGTGGCAACTGTGAATGGGAGTTCACTTCTGATTTGACCCTCAGCTTGACTGTTGTTGTTGTATAGGAATGTTAGTAATTTTTCCTACCGATTTTGTATCCTGAGACTTTGCTGAAGTTGTTTATTATTTTAAGAAGCTTTTGGGCTGAGACTATAGGGTTTTCTAGATATAGGATCATGTCCTCTGCAAAAAGGGACAATTTGACTCCGTGTCTTCCTATTTGAATGCTCTTTATTTCATTCTCTTGCCTAAATGCACTGGCCAGAACTTTCAAAATTACATTGAATGTGAGTGGTGAGAGAGGGCAACCTTGTCTTGTGACAGTTTTCAAGGGGAATGCTTCCAGCTTTTGCCCATTTAGTATGATGTTGTCTGTGTGTTTGTTATAGATGGCTCTTATTATGAGGTATGTTCCTTCAATACCTAGTTTATTGAGTGTTTTTAACATGAATGGATGTTGAATTTTATCAAAAGCCTTTTCTGCATCTATTGAGATAATCATGTGTTTTTGTCTTTAGCTCTGTTTATGTGATGAATCACATTTATTTATTTGTGTATGTTGAACCAGCCTTGCATCCAGACATAAAGCCTAGATGATCATGGTGGATAAGGTTTTTGATTTGCTGCTGGATTCGGTTTGCCAGTATTTTCTTGAGGATTTTTTCATTGATGAACATCAAGGAATCACAATTGTCAAGGAATAAAATACTTAGGAATATAGCTAGCTAGTGAGATGAAAGATCTCTACAAGGAGAATTACAAACCGCTGCTCAAATAAATCAGATGTGACACAAACAAATGGAAAAACATTCCATGCTCATGAATAGGAAGAATCAATATTGCAAAAATGGCCATACTGCCCAAAGCAATTTCCAAATTCAATGTTATTCCTATTAAACTACCATCGAGACTCTTCACAGAACTAGAAAAAAAACTATTTTAAAATTCATATGAAACCAAAAAAGAGCCCAAACATCCAAGGCAATCCTAAGCAAAAAGAACAAAGCTGGAAGCATCACACTACCTGAATTCAAACTATACTACAGAGCTATAGTAACCAAAACAGCATAGTACTGGTACAAAAACGGACACATAGACCAAGGGACAACATGGAGAATTCAGGAATAAGACTGCACACCTACAACTATACACCATGGAATACTATGAAGCCATAAAAAAGAACAATGCCATCTCCTTTGCAGGGACAAATACCACATGTTCTCACTTATAAGTGGGAGCAAATGATGAGACTACATGGACACATAAAGGGGAAAAATACGTAGTGGGGCCTATTGGAGGATGGAGGGTTGGAGAAGGGAGAGGATCAGGAAAAATAACTAATGTGTACTAGGCTTAATACCTGGGGATGAAATAATCTATGTAACAAACCCCAAAGACACAAGTTTACCTATGTTAACAAACTTGTGCATGCAACCTTGAACTTAAAAGGTGAAAAAAAAAAAAACAGAAAAAGAAAACAATCAGTGGCAGAATTGGGAACCCAGAAATAGGCTTATGAAAAAATTAAGTAACAAAGTAAATTAAAATTAAATAATAAAGAATAAGAAAAGAAACTCTAAGTAATAGGATATATAAGTAATTTAGGAGAAAATTCTGATCTAAGACATGCAGATAGGTCACTTTTTTCTGAATATATACATATAAATATATATACATATATAAATATGAAATACCTATATAAATATGAAATGCAAGTATGGAAGAAGACACTGGTCCCAAAGTGCAAGCCAAATGCATTCTGAAGAACTCAATTATTAGTTATCAAATAAATTCAAATTAACAATTGATTTAGCATGTTTAGAACGTATTTAACAGACTGATAAATTAGTCTGGCCAGAATATATTGAAGTGTATATTTCTGTATATGATACGTGGCAAAAAAAAAAAAACAGTCATGATATTTCTTGAAGATAATGATACTTATGAATATTTAAGTGGTGCATATATTTGGATCATCACATTTCATTGCTAATAACTTAAACTATCAGATAAATGTGCAAAGGTCATTGTACAACAATGTATCTTGTACTACTATTTGCAATAGTTACATTAAAATTTAACATTATCCAAAAGACCAACAGTAAATGATTTTTCAGATTCATTGACTTTTCAAGATCCATACAGGGAAATAAAGTCTTTAAAGGGTTTAACAGATGAACAGGAAACCCTACTCCCACAAAAAAACTTAGATTATAAGCAATGTGTATAAGATAAATACATTAAGTGTATGAGTGTTTATAAATATATTTGTATACACATACACTCAATTATGAGTAATGTGTATGTGTATATATAAATATATGTGTGTAATCCTTATTAAATCCATTTTCAAAATTCTAAAGCTAACATTATAGTAATCTGACTCTAACATTATAATAAAGAATTATGTTTACTTTTGTATTTTTGTACAAGGTTCAAACCTTATTTGCTTCTCAGGCCTGTAACAGTTTGATTGTAAATATAAATCACATATATATGTTAAAATAGTAGAATATGTTACCTTTATTTAGCTGCAATTTTCTAAAAGAAATTTTTACATCAGAAAATTCTCTAGCTTATTATTTTCCTTGAAAATGTTATTGATAAGGATTAAAATAACTTTATTTGAAAATAGGGTAACTGTTACATACCCCATGTCCACCGCATTTTTCTTCCCAGTTACCTTGTCTTCTATCTGCATATGTGCTCACAAGTTGGCAAACTCCATTATCACATAACTAAAATGTTAAAGTAACCAATAACAAGAAAAAATTTTAAACGCAAAGTCAAGAGTTGAGCAACTGTATTTTGTACAAGAACTATATTCATAAGATATAAACACAAACATAAATTTGGATTTGATGACTTTTGTTCATTGTAGTAATAGAACCTGAAGTCACTATCAAAATGATATGTTATTACTTTATAACTTTATAGAAAAATTAAGCAATGAAGTAAATTAAAATTAAATTACTTTATAAAATATTAAATATATTTATAAAATATTGAATATCATATTTACTTATAGTCCTGTGTATAAGAATGAGTAAAAGAAAGGCAGTTAATGTTATTTTTTAAATTCACTGGCTAGCTTATTAGTTTGAAAAACTCTCTGTTGATGATCTCATCAATATGCCCGAAGCATATTCCTTTTCAGTTATCAAATGATTATACTTAGATGTTCTTATCTCTCCTAGCTAATATACATGGACTAGGATCAGTTTGATAACCTCTTCTCCTGTTTAAGTTTTATAAATAACAAATTCAAAGGCACTTTGTATCACAACCAGTATTAAGCAAATTTGCCTTGCTGGAAATGCCTATTTCCATGTAGTATACTGTTGACTTAGTATATTACTATGTTAAATCTATGAGTGTTTTATTTATAATCTTTATTCAAATTAATAAGATATATGTATATTGATACTGACAAATAAGAAATAAAGTACATCTGTCTAAAGTCATATAGGTATAGATAGATGTAGATGTGGATATATGTTAAAGTGCATCTATCTTTTCATATAGGTATGTATGGATAGAGGTAAATATAAATATATGTTAAATTTAATTTTTACAAAGGACCCACATTTCATGAAGGTGAGGTAAAGAAGTCTCTACTTTCTTATCTCTCTGAAATCGTTTGAACAATGTTGAACAACAAATGAAAACAAAGCACACCTTTGATGAATTTTTAAAATAGCCAGAGAATTCCAATTTGAATTGACAGAGCTGGTGAACACAAAAGCCCTCTTTTTCCAATAAAAGAGAATAAAGGAGAATCAAAAAGACGCAATTGGAAGAAGAGAGATGTAAGAACTTCCTGGAATACCGAAATAAAAAGGAAGATCAACAATGGATAAAATGAAGTGGGAAAGCAACCATATCAAAGACAGTGGCAAAGAGGAGCCTGGTTGATTAGCCTGGCAATGCTTTGAAGAGCTGCAGCCTCAAGATTATAAGGAAAAACTGAGGGAGAAGAGCTGAAAGGACAGGAAGGGGAGGGATGGCTAAGATGTGGACTTATCCACAGAAGTCTGTACACAAAACTTACTTTGCTCTCAACATCCAATACTCACTTTTCCCTCTCCCTCTCAATGACTGAATGCAGTTCACACAGCACTTTTATCCCAAAGATTTAGAAGGGTATTTTGTTTCCTAAAGCAACTAGACTCATAAGACTGTGGAATTCAGGCTTCTAGAGTGTTCTGTCCTCTAGAATAAGCACTACCCAATTAAATCAGTGGTTAGTATAGTATCTTGTTTAGCGATCATGGCCTAAACTCAGCTTCCAAGATGAAGGCTGTCATTTGATAAACCCTAGTCACATAGAGAAAGCACCCAATTAGATTTTCAATATCTCTAATCATCAGAGAAATGCAAGTTACAACCACATGAAGCATCACATCAAACCTGTCGGATTAGCTATTATCAAAAGTATTAAAAATAACAAGTGTTGGTTAGGATGTGGAGAAAAGGGAATGCTTATACATTGTTGGTGGCATTGTAAATTGATACAGTGATTTTGGAAAACCAGTACAGTGATTCCTCAAAAAACTAAAAAGAGAACTATCATATGATCCAGCAGTCCCACTGTTGTGTATTTATCTAATGGAAATAAAATTAGTATGCCAAAGAGATATCTGACTCCCGTGTTTATTGTAGTATTATTCACAATAGACAAGGTATGCAAACAACCTAAGTGTCCATCAACAGATGCATATATATTTTTTAATGTGATGTGTATATGTGTGTGTGTGTGTGTGTGTGTGTGTGTGTATGTGTATGTGTATATATATATATATATATATATATACACACATACACACAAAATTCAAAATAAAAAATGACAGGTAGTAAAATAAGAGTTCCTTTGACCAACAAGAATTCTGATGTTGAATCTCAAGATCATGCAGTAATAAAAATGTGTAACAGTAATAAAACAGTAAAGATGCCTATCTCTCTCACTCACACTGTTATGCGTATGCAGAAACACACCATTCAGTATCAAGTAAAATTTTTATTTACCTTTTCTAGACCACAAAAGGTACCATTTTTTACATAGGAGTTATCCTTTATGCTACACATGAATTTTGTAAAAATGTAGACATATATATATATATATGTATATATATATATACACACACACACACACACACACACAATGAAATATTATTCAGACTTAAAAATAACAGGAAATTCATTTTCAACAACACTGGTGAGCCTATATGACATTAAGTAAAATAAGCCAGGCACAGAGAGACAAATATAATCTCACTCACATGTGCAATCTAAACATGTTGAACTCATGGAAGTAGAGACTAGAATGGTGGTTACAAGGAGTTAGGGGAGGAGTGAACAAAGAAAAGAAAAACATGTCAGTGAGTACAAAGCTAATTATGAGTTTGGATCTTCTATTGCACAACAAGGTGAGTATACTTAATTATAATATATTGTATATTTCAAAATACCCGAAAGGGGATTATAAATGTTCTCACTGCAAGGAAATTACAGCTATTTGAAGTAATGAATATGATAATTATTAGACTGATTTGTTCATTTCACAGTATATACATGTTTCAAAACATCATATTGTATACCATGCAAATACACAACTGTCATTTGTCTGTTAAAAATAAAATAGAACTGTAAAAAAAAGTATAGGAGTATAAAGGTATAACTCAGGAGCAGCCCACTGGAAGAGATGCGTTGGGCAAGGTATTTGATGGGGACAAGGTGGTACAGGCAGAGTTTCCATGCCCTCTCCTGACACGTCACCCTCCCAGCAAGTCATTGTGTTCACCAATCCATAAGCTGTCTCTGAATCTCTTTGTTCAGAAGTTTATTTGTTTGCTTGTTTTTAGACATAGGGCCTCCATATGCTGCCCAGGCTGGAGTGCAGTTGAGTATTCACAGGCACAATTCAAACACACTGGAGCTTCCCTCGAACCCCAGGGCTCAAGCAGTCCTCCTGCCTCAGCCTCTCAAGTAGCCAGGACTACAGGCATGAGCCACATACAGAGTCTTTATGGAGCTCAATCACCAGCTTCACCTTGTCCCTTTCCAAAGGTCATTGGGTAGGACTGAGAGTGTCAACCTTCTAATCACTTGGTCTTTCTGGTGACCAGCCCCATCCTGAGGCTATCTAGGGGCCCTACCCTAAGTTACTGCATTAACATAAACTCAGATGTTGATTGAAAAGGGCTCATTATGAATAACAAAGGACAGGCCTGTCACTCAGGAAATTCTAATAGTTTTAGGTGCTCTGCACCAGGAACCAGGGACAAAGATCAAATGTCTTCTGAAGTATAGCACATATACACATCATTTTTGTGCTTTTTCTTTAATTAATTGATGATTAAATTAGCTGTAAATTATATATTTACCCTGTCATATTTATAGTAAACATTTTTGTCAGTTTGTTTTATCAATTTTGTCATCCTTTGAAAGGTTGACATATTCCTTTATAATGTAACCAGCACAAGAATGTTTCTTTATTACTTCATTATTTTTATGTGGTAACAACTTTTCCCATTCTGAGATAAGTTTACTATTAATTTCCATTTTCCTCTTGTTTTTCTTTTCTTAAAATATTGGCTCTATATAAAAATTATGTAAAATGTGTGATAAGTTTGTACTTTTTCATCAGTCAACTAATTTTTCAATGGCACTGGTTCAAAAACCTTCATCTATTATGCCTCTCAAAAATAAGTAAAGCTTAAACTCTATGTTTTACTGTTAAGCACGTGCCAAATTTTTAATAGGTATGTCATGATTTTGGAGAAAGAATTCAGAGAGTAGGTCGATGAGCAAATAAATATTTTACTTTCATTATAATTAAACAAGTCCTTGCCAATTACTAAATACTTGGGTTTTTTTTTTCTGTATTTCTTTAATGTTCTAATTATTCAGATTTTCTGACCTTATTTTTTGGAATGTTGTTTGATTTCATTTTTTGTTCTAGGTTTAGGCATATTATTTCAGATAAGATTCTTGCCTCACAAAGAGATTTAGTTCTCAAATATGAGAAAAATTTAAATACCTATGGCAAAATTCAAAATAAAAAATGACAGGTAGTAAAATAAGAGTTCCTTTGACCAACAAGAATTCTGATGTTGAATCTCAAGATCATGCAGTAATAAACATGTGTAACAGTAATAAAACAGTAAAGATGCCTATCTCTCTCACTCACACTGTTATGCGTATGCAGAAACACACCATATAGTATCAAGTAAAATTTTTATTTACCTTTTCTAGACCACAAAAAGTACCATTTTTTACATAGGAGTTATCCTTTATGCTACCACATGAATTTCGTAAAAATGTAGACACACATACATGGTTTCCAAGGTAAGTATATTAAGCATCATCATCTTTATGTCGTATTAGTTCTGTACTTTTCCAGTGACAAACTAGCTTTGCACAAAGGACACGTCTGGGAATATAAGGCAGAAAAAATTAGCCATTTTTCACTTAAGGACACAATATACTAGGTAAATAACAGCTCAAAATATAATGATAATTCAAAATGTTACTTAGATTACACCACCAACTATATTCAGAACCTACAACACTTTATAAAGTGCAAAATATAAACTCACCTGTATATGCTACATCTCTCATTTGTATTAAGTGACCCTCTGAAATACACACGCACATACCAACGTTAGAAAAATGTATACGTTTAAAAATGTGTACTCGAAATTATAGGAACTAGTTTTACAGTTTCCAAAATTGTTGGCATGCAAATTCACTTCTTGTGAACACAGATAAGGAGCACCCTGAGCAACTGAAAACATAAATAAAGAAGTCCCAATTACTCATTTTAAAAAATTAGTTACAAATAAAAATGTAGTAAATTAATATGGAGATATCTATATAGCAATAATGCCCATTCAGTGTCATCCACCACAACTTTTTGATGTAATTATTGTCTATACACAAAGGAGAAACACCTGCTAAAAACTACCCACTTGGGTAGAAAGAGCAAAAGTGATATTTTAGTGTAGAAATAATTGAGAGATCAGTCATTTTCTCTCTTATTTACTATTCTAATAGTGTGCTCCCTTTCTGTCATCTGATATTTGACTAATGCTCTATTTTTTTGGTCCTGTGATTATTAAGTCCATTTTACCTCTTGATATAGTTCAAAGTTGCTTTAAATTGCAATTTTATTTTTAAATTTGGATTTAAAAAAACAACACTCTTTTCATGGTTATAGGATGGATTACTGACTTTAGAATAACTACAGTTTAAAAATGAACCTAGAAATATACAATTATTACATTGTCCAAATAATTGCATGCACTGTCCATCCCTATCTTGGAATATTCCTCTAAGACAATAGGCAGTCTTATTGCATAGCTCATAATCAGCAGATTTCACATCAGGTACACAAAACTCAGATGTTCCATTGTAATATTCTGTAAAACCACACAGATCTATGCTTTTCCTGCAAACATGTCCTCTTTTATGTATCTGTGAGACAAAGGGAAACAAAATGTGTGTATATAGATATATATATACACACACACACACATACATATAAAGGGGTTAATAAAAAATGTCGAAAATTTCAAAAGGTACATTGTATTAGCATCTATCATTTCTATCACTTAACAATTTAAACTACGGATTTGCTAAAAAAATTCTAGTGAAATAAACTGGAAAGGACCCAAATATCCATCTATTGATGAAGGGATAAATAC